>NC_000024.10:4240356-4540766 GCF_000001405.40 Homo sapiens
CCTCCTGTTATTGATTTCTACTTTTATTCTATTATGGTGAAGAAAGATACTTAATATGATTTTGATTTCTTTTAAAATTTATTGAGACTTTTTGTGGCCTTTAATATGGTCTATCAGAAACATGTTCCATATGCTGATGAGAAGAATTTGTATATACTAAAGATGTTGAATAAACTGTTCTTGTTTTTTAGGCCTATTTGTTCTCATGCATTTTAAATGCAATGTTTCTGTGTTGATTTCCGTTTAAGTGATCTGTCTAATTCTGAGAGTAGGGTATTGAAGTCCCCAACTATTACTGTATTGGAGTTTATCTTCCCCATTAGATATAATAATATTTGTTTACATATCTTGGTGCTCCAGTGTTGCATTTATACATATCCATATATTTTGGATCCTCTTACTGCATTGATCACTTTATTGTTATATAATGACCTTATTGTTCTCCTTTTATACTTTTTATGGATAAAGTCTGTCTAATATAAGTAGAGCTATTCGTGCTTATTTTTGGGTTTTATTTGCATAAAGTACTTACTTTCAGTCTATATGTATGTTTACAGATAAACTGAGTTTCTTGTAAACAGTATATGGTTGGGTTGCCAAAAAAATTATTCCACCAGTTTGTATATTTTAGTTGGAGAGTTTAATCCATTTATATTTGAGGTTATCATAAATAGGAGAAAACTTATTTGTGTCATTTTGTTCATTATTTTCTGGTAGTTTTGTATATATTGTTCATTTTATTCTTTTCTTTCTGATTATCTTTGACTTTTCATGTTTTTTGTGTGTAATACAGTTTGCTTTTTTTTAATCATTTGTGGATCTTCTTTACCAGTGTGTTTTATACTTTTGCATATTATCATAATGATAGTTATTATTTTTTATTTCTAGATATCAGATTCCCCTAAGCACATCCTGTAGGACCAGTTTAGTGGTGATGAATTCCCTCAGTTTTTGCTTTTCTGAGATATATTTTATTTCTTCTTTATTTTTGAAAGCTAGCTTTGTTGAGTATAGTATTCTTAGTAGACAGATTTTTTAGCTTGTAATATGTCTTCCCATTTTTTCTTGTCATGTAAAGATTTTTGCTGAGAAATCTGCTGTTAATATAATGAGTATCCTCTTATATGTGACTTAATGCTTTTTTTGCCATTTAAAAAATCCTCACTTCATCTTATACTTTTGACAGTTTTTCTACAATATGCCTTGAGAAAGAACATTTTGTGAGTTTGATCTATTTGAAAACATTTGAGCTTACTGAATTTGGATGTCCATATCTTTCACAAGAGTTGGGACGTTTTCAGCTACTGTTTTATCAAATGTATTTTCTATGCCTTTTCCTGTCTCTTCTCATTTTCCAGTCTCTTCAAATGTTAAAATTTGCATGCTTAATGGTGTTCTGTAAGTCCCATAGGCTTTCTTCATTTTTTTGTGATTTATTCTTTTCCCCCTCTGGGTTATTTTAAAAGAGCCATACTCAGATTGAGAAATTATTTCTTCTGCTTGATCTAGTCTGTGGTTGAAGCTCTATATTGTATTTTTTTTATTTCATTCATTGAATTTATAGTTCCTCAATTTCTGTTTGATATTTTTATATAATATGTATCTCTGTTGAACTTATTCAGATCATTAATTGTTTTCCTGATTTTGATGAATTGTCTATCTGTATACTCTTGTATCAAGCTGAGTTTCCTTAAGAACATTATTTTGATTTTTTTTTCAAAGATTTGATAGATTTTCTTTTTCGAGGTTCAGTTACTGGAAATTTATTGAGTTCTTTTGGATGTTTTATATCCTCTTTTTTTTTATTTTCAATGTTTCATGTGTTCCTACGTTTATATCTGCACATCTGGTGAAATGGTAACCTCTCCCAATTTCACAGAGTAGTTTTTTAAGGGAAAAACATTTCTCTGTGCTCATTTCCTGTATTGTTGGTTAGGTAGGGTACTTTGCTCTGGGTACTGGGTAGGTGCAATAGTGTAGTCTCTGTGCAATTTCTTAGGCTTCAATAACTGTCATTAGTATCTGTGCCTCAGTGGCCTACACTTCAGGTGTTTGTGGAGGCAGTGGCAAGACTTTTTCAGGGGTGAGGGCCAGTGGTCAGGCTTATTCTCAAGTCCTTGGGAATATGTGACAGGTACAGCAGCACTGCCAGTCATGGAGCTGGTGTCACCTGTGGTGGCACAACAGGCAGTTCATCCCCCAGTCCCTGGTAGGTATGCACTGTGTGCAGCAGCTTCACTGGTCAAGGATAGTGGTTCAACACTAGTGAGAAGCATTAGGAAGGTCAGTGCTGGGTTCTTGATGGGTGCATACAGCACACAGTGGCCCTGGTGCTGGAGATGGTTGGATTACTGCCAGAGGTAGGCACAAGGTACCAGTTCTAGGTGCCTGGGGAGTGTGCATAATGGTGTCCCTGATCCTGGGAACAGCCTCCCTGTTGTGCTGGAACCCCTGCTCTCTGGAGTATAGGGAAATATGGGTTCAAGTGGGGTCCCAGCTGTACCATTGAGTCTTACTGGGATGACAATGTTGAAACATTCTGTGTTGGTAAAATGGGGTGATGACAAACCTCAGGGATGTGGAGATTTAAATACTATTGGCCTCCAGGGCATAATATATTCCCTCAGTGGCTCCATTCTGTAAATGTTGCCTGCTATAGTAGCCAGTGTACTGAGGAGTAGGTGGTGTCTCATTGTGTGTTTCCTCTTTTGGAGAAAAACAGCCATATGGACTCCAGAAAACTTTCTATACTGAGCTCAGGGCCTGTGAGGATTGTAGGGTTGTCTTGTAGATAGAAATTAAGGCACCTTTTGTGATAATTGGGAATGCTGGGGATCTGGTGTGTACATTTTCTTGGCTCTGAGCTGGATCTGGCTGGGTATTTTTCTTCCATTTCTATGCTGCCGTCTAGAGTTTCTATGTCTCAGAGCATTTTCATCACTTTCTTGCTGAGTTCCAGTCTTCTGTCTCAGTCACTCTACTCAAGATGCAGTTATTTATTTGTTGCTTTGGTCCTTCTTTGTGGAGATGAGTGTTGGGTGCCTCTAGTCAGCCATCTGATGACAATTTTCTTGTATTTATCGAACTCAATTATCAAATGACCATACTGATGTTGTATCACTATATAAAATGATATGAGTTTATATAAAATATTCTCACAAAAGACCAGCATGATTATATTATAAATGAGCAGTTTCATACTTTTAATAAATTTATTATGTAATTGAGATAACTAGAAATAAATTATTTAAATTATCATTTTTGTATCATTTAATAAGGTCTAGACTGAGTATAAAATGCACATAGCTCAAGGGAATCTAGGTATCTATTTATCATATAAAGCAGGTAAAAAATAACATTTTATTAGAAATACTGGTCTTCTGTAAGTTATTTACTGCTTTTAGAATTGTAGCCCAAAAAGTCCTAGAGTGAAAAAAGAACATGTATTTATAAAATTTACGAAAGGTATTTTCCAATCAATACCGAAATTCTTGCCAGTTAAACTTTCTGTCAGAAAAGAAGTACAAGAATAGACATTTACTTTTTATTTCTTGATGTAAAAGATGTAGCCAAGAACCATATAAAACAGCAATGGAGAATGAATATTTCTTCTGCTCTGTCTGATTTCCCACTTCAATTGCTTTCACATCCTATCTTATTATATAATTATTTATCTGGCAGCTGCCTCAACCACTATTCCCAAGGTACTCTGAAAGCTGGAAACTGAAACCTGGAAGCCTGAGCACTAAGAATAGTAAACCACCAGAGAATCACAGTGTATGTATGCTTTTGGCTTTGATACTGACCTTGTGCCTCAATAATCAGACCAGTTCATGAGGCAGTGACTGTTCATATGTGTCATATAATTATACTACACTGTAAAGAACAGAAAAAATTCTCCATGTGCTGACTGAAGAAGTGGGATCTATTGACAGTTTAAAGAATTGGGATTACTGGCACTTATTTCTCTTTTATATTTGTGGTAGTATAAATATTAATAAATCTTCACTGGAATATATGGGGTATAAAAATAAGAGGATAAAAATGAAAATCAGTCAACTTACACGAACACACACACAAACACAAACTGCATAATACATAAACTATTATACATTTATAGATTTTTTACTGTCCAGTAGAGTAGCCATGAGCCACATGTAGCTATTTAAGTTTAAATTCAAACTAATTAATACTAGATAAACCTAAAAATCCAATTTCTCAGTTTATTGTTCACATTTCATGTTCTTATCAGCCACTTATATCTAGTGGCTATCATTCTACTTTATAGTCTGTTTCTATCATTGCAGAGAGTTATATTGGGTAGTGCTAGTATAGACAAAAAATATGTTATGTATAGATTATATATACATTACAAAATGTACAAAAAAAAAACAAAAATAAAAGGACCACAGTAAAAATAAAAATAAACAGCAATTCTAGTATTTTCCCACTCCCCAAGTAACCATGTTGTGCAATGATTGGATGCATACACCCTTCTTTAGAGATAACTGATTGCCCAAATAAAGAATCAAACTCATTAAATTTATTTTTTTTACAGAACATTAACACTTTTTAAAAATAAACTGACATAATACACTTCTTACTATTATTTATAACATCAATCATAATTTAGGAAACATAAGTGTGTTTTATATAATATAACGCATTCTGCAAAATGATGAAGTCATGGAGTTAAAAGGCCTAGACCAACCCAAAAGTAAAAAAAAAAAAAAAAGTTTTAAAAATGAAATAACTTTTAGGCTAAGCCATATAACTAATCAGTTTCCTCTTTTGATGAAGTCATTGGGATCTTTAATATTTAAGCAAAACTTAATACCACTTATACATCTAAACACTTCCAACCTCTCTGAGCTGCTCTGCCTAACCATGTATACAAGGTTTTGTGTTCATATTTAAGACATAGTACGTTTAAATTAGAAACAGGTCTGCTTCAGAGACAATAAATAGAGAATGACTCTAAGGGTGCATTTTTTTGAATTATAACAGTTTTCAATATTTGTATTTTTAGGCATTTTTGTTTATCAAGAGTTTAAGATGAGTTTATTTATTTTGTGGTTATATTAAATTTAAAATACACTCTCAAAATTCTATACTTTAAATAATATTTTATTTATAGCAATGAACATCTTTTCCTACATGATATTTAACAAGCAGAAATTGGTATATATACTCAAAGGCTATATTTTTCAAAAATTTACAACATAAAATATTTATGTGACTAAAATTATCCTTTGGCAAGGAAATAAATGTAGCATTTCAGATGAAGGGACATATTACTAAGAATTTAGTTTATATAGTACTTTAAGTGTTTAGAAGCATAAACTCGTCACGTATTTTCTTTGCAACAGGTACTGTAGTTTAATAATTACAATTTAATTAGAATTTTAATTGGATTGTTGTTTCCAGATCTGAATGTGACAAATTTCTTTTCTTTATTTGTATTATTTTCCTTTCTCTTTCAAGAAATATTTCTTTCTACCCTTCTTTTATTCCTCTAGATTGCAAAGGAAATAATACAAGAAGGTAATTATGATAATCACTTGAAATGTCATGCTTATCTGTTCACCCACAATGTAAATTTTATTTTTTCTGCTAGTTTAAGGATATCATTTTACAAAATTTAGGACATGTTTTCACACTGTTTCTGGTAATGTGCTCTCGCTTTCTACGTCTAATCACAAATTTCCTAGTACATTCCTATTTCATTCCTTGTTAAACTGAGATTCTAATTATACTTCATATAAATATTAAACTTTTAGGATTGTGTTCTCTAGTCTGCTATTTATTTCCTGTGAGTGAGGCCCATTCAACATAGAACCTAAAAATATTAAGAATGCACGAGTTTTCCAAGTCTGATAGGTTTTAAACTATGATAGATATTACTGGAAAGGTTAGAAATGTCTTTAACCTACATGATTACAACCTAATCACCCTTTATCTCAGCATTGAAAAAGTAGATGTCTAATCCAAACATTTCTATATGTCTCTCTATTTTCCTGCTTCTCTCTTCCTTCTTCTTTCAAAGAGACAGACAGAGAGAGAGAGAGAGAGAGAGAGAGAGAGAGAGAGAGATAAAGCTAGTCAATCCTAGCTTTGGATAAATTGTTTTTCTACTTTCTAACGATGAGTATATTTTAAGCATAACCTTTGCAAACAATAAAAGACAAGTTTTGGAATGAAAGGCTAAAGTGGTGAAGAGTTGTATATATCAGACCACAGGTAAAACTAACATAAGAGCTTTTAAAAAAATCTCATTCCTTATTTCAATTTTTTTTTTTTTTTGAGATGAAGTCTCGCCCTATCACCCAGGCTCAAGTGCAGTGGCACAGTCATGGTTCACTGCAACCTCTGCCTCCCAGGTTCAAGCGATTCTCCTGGGGATTACAGGTGCCTGCCACTCTGCCCAGCTAATTTTTGTATTTTTAGTAGAGACAGGATTTCACCTTTTTGGCCAGGCTGTTCTTGAACTCCTGACCTCAAGTGATCTGCCTTGACCTCTGAAACTGCTGGGATTACAGGCATAAGCCACCGCACCCGGCCAAATTTCCTCATTTCACTTAGGTTTTTTCAGATTTTTCTAAGCCTCTTTTTCTATCAAAATGTTAAACAACGGGAGGGGCTGAGATGGCCAACTAGAAACAGCTGCGGTCAGAGGCTCCCAGTGAGAGGAACAAAATCTACGAGTGAATCCTGCACAGGCAAGTGAGGTATTCAGGTTCTCTCATTTGGACTTACTAGGCAGTTGGCGTGACCCACAGAGAGCAAGGAAAAGCAGGGTGGTGTGATGGTCCACCTGGGAGCCATCTGGAGCAAGGGGAGCTCCCACCCCAAGCCAAAGGAGGCAGTGAGTGATCATACTACCTTGTCTGGGAAACTATGCTTTTTGCTGTGCAACCTATGAATCAACACAGCCTCCTCATGAGCCCATACCACCAGGGCCTTGGGTCTCAAGCATAGAGATATGCAGATTCTCAGCAGTCACTTGGCTGGAGACTGCCTAAGACTACCAAGTTCCTGGGGGAAAGGGTTGGCTGTCAACACTGCAGCTGCCTGCTGCCTAAGATGACTGAGCTCCTTGCAGGAGGGGTGACAGCCATCACCGCAGTGCCAGTCTGCCATTTTTTCCCCTGCTGGTAACAGGGAGACTGGATGATTTGGATCCAGGAGGAATTCCCCAGAGTGCAGCACAGTGGCTGTGGCAGATCGTGGCTGGACTGCCTCTTTAGGTCAGACCCGGATCCATCCCTTTTTCACTGGGAGGGGGCCTCCCTGCAGGAATTTCAGCAATTCTAGCCAGGGGTTTAGAGACAAAAATCTGATCTCCCTGAAACTGAGCCCCTTGGGGGTGGGGTAGCCACAGTCTCTGAGGATAAGCAGACTTAGCCTTGCCTGCTGGCTCTGAGGATATTGGGCAGTCCCTATGAGTGAGATGTCCCCCTACACAGCACACATCATCTGCCAACGGGCAAGCAGAGTGCTTCATTAAGTGTGTTTCAGATCCTGTGACTCTGGACTGGGTGAGATCCCTCAATAGGAATCACCAGAGACCTTATACAGGAATGTTCATGCTGTCGACAGGTCTTGCTCCTCTAAGACAGAGATCCCAGAGAAAGAAGCAGGCAGCTATCTTTGCTGTTCTGTTGCCTCCATGGGTGACACCTCCAGGTGCAGGAGGGACCCAGGGGAATAGGATTTGTAGTGGACCCCCAGGAAAACACAGCAGCCCTATAGAAAATGGGCTTGATTATTAAAAGAAAAACAAACAAACAGAAGATGACAACAACGACCTCAACGAAAAAGTTCCTACAAAAACCCATCCAAAAGCCAACAGCCTCAAATATCAAAGTTAGATAGACTCAAGAAGATGAGAAACAACAAAAAAAAAACAATGAAAACTCAAAAATCCAGAGTGCCTCTATTTCTGAAAATGATCACAACACCTCTCCAGAAAGGGCACAGAACCAGGCAAAGTCTGAGATAGATGAATTGACAGAAGTAGGTTTCAAATGATGTGTAATAATGAACTTTACTGAGCTAAAGGAGTATATTCTAACCCAATGCAAAGAAGCTAAGAACCATAATAAAACATTACAGGAGCTGTTAACCAGAACAGATAGTTTAGAGAGGAGCATATATGACCTGATAGAGCAGAAAAACACAACAAAATAACTTCACAATGCAACCACAAGTATCAATAACCGAATAAAAAAGCAGAGGGAAGAATTTCAGAGCTTGAAGACTATCTTGCTGAAATAAGACAGGCAGACAAGATCAGAGAAAAAAGGAATGAAAAGGAATGAAAAAAACCTCTGAGAACTATGGGATTATGTAAAAAGACTGAACCTGTGACTGATTGGGGTACCTGGAAAAGATGGGAAGAACAGAACCAAGTTCAAAAACACACTTCAGGATATCACCCAGGAGAACTTCCCCAACCTAAGAAGACAGGCCAACATTCAAATTCAAGAAATCCAGAGAACCCCAATAAGATACTTCATGAGAAGATCCACCTCAAGACAGATAATCATCAGATTATCCAAGGTTAAAATGCAGGGAAAACTGTTAAGGGCATCCAGACAGAAAGGCCAGGTCACCTACAAAGGAAAGCCCATCAGAGTAACAGCAGACCTCTCAGCAGAAACTCTACAAGCCAGAATAGATTAGAGGCCAATATTCTGCATTCTTAAAGAAAATAATTTTTAATTTAGAATTTCCTATCTGGCCAAACTAAGCTTCATATGTGAAAAATAAATAAAATTCTTTTCAGACAAGCAAATGTTGAGGGAATTTGTCACCAGCAGACCTGCCTTGCAAGGGCTACTGAAGAAAGCACTAAGTATGGAAAGGAAAATCTATTACCAGCCAATGCAAAAACATACTGAAGTACAAAGACCAATGACACAGTGACGCAACTACATCAAAAAGTTTGCAAAATAACCAGCTTGCATCATGATGACAGGACTAAATTTACATATAACAATATTAATCTAAAATGTAAATGGGCTAAAAGACACAGAATGGCAAGCTAGATATAGTCAAGACCCATTGATATGCTGTATTCAAGAGACCAATCTCATGTGCAAAGACACACATAGGCTCAGAATGGAGGGATGGAGAAAAGTTTACCAAGAAATGGAAAGCAGAAAAAAGCAGAGGTTACAATCCTGGTTTCTGATGAAAGAGACTTTAAACCAACAAAAATCAAAAAAGTCAAAGAAGGGTATCACATAATGGTAAATAATCAATATAACAAGAAGAGCTAACTATGCTAAATATATGTGCACCCAATACAGGAGCACCCAGATTCACCGAACAAGTCCTTAGAGACCTACAAAGAGACTTAGACTCCCACATAATATGGTTTGGCTGTGTCCCCACCCAAATCAAATGTTGAATTCCTATTTATTGTGTGAGGGACCTTGTTGGAGGTAATTGAATCATGGGGGTAGGTCTTTCCTATGCTGTTCTCATGATAGTAAGTCTCACGAGATCTGATGGTTATTACAAAAGGGATTTTTCCTGCGCAAGCTCTCTTTGCGGCCATCCATGTAAGACATGACTTGCTCCTCCTTGCTTTTCACCATGATTGTGAAGCTTCCCCAGCCACACAGAACTGTAAGTCCAATTAAACCTCTTTATTTTTTAAATTGCCCAGTCTTGGGTTTGTGTTTATCAGCAGCAGTAATACACCACACAATAATAGTAGGAGACTTTAACACCTCACTGTCAATAGCAGATTATTGAGACAGAAAATTTACAAGAATATTGAGGTCTTGAACTAAAGCAGACCTGATATATATCTACAGAATTCTCCACACAAAAACAACAGAATATACATTCTTCTCTGTGCCACATGGCACTTATTCTAAAATCAATCACATAATTGGAAGTAAATACAAAAGAACTGAAGTAATAACAGTCTCTCAGACAACAGTGCAATCAAGTTAGAACTCCAGATTAAGAAACTCACCCCAAACCAAACAACTACATGGAAATTAAACAACTTGCTTCTGAATGACACCTGGGTAAATAATAAAATTAAGGCAGACAATGTACCAGAATCTCTGGGACACAGCTAAAGCAGTGTTAAGAGAGAAATTTATAGCACCAAATGCTCACATCAATAAGCAAGAAAGATCTCAAATTGACACCCTAATATGACAACTAAAAGAACTAGGAAACCAAGAACAAACATACCAGAAGCTAGCAGGAGACAAGAAAAAACCAAGATCAGAGCAGAACAGAAGGACATAGAGACAAAAAAAAAAAAAACCTTCAAAAAATAAATGAATCCAGAAGCTCTTCAAAAAAAAAAAAACAGACTTCTAGCTAGACTAATAAAGAAGAAAAAAGAATCAGACACAGTAAAAAATGAAAAAGGGATGTAACCACTAACCTCACAGGAATACAAATAGCCATCAGATAATACTATAAACACTTCTATGCAGATTAACTGGAAAGTCGAGAATAAATGGATAAATTCCTGAACACATACACCCTCCCCAAGACTGAACCAGGAAGAAGTTGAATCCTTGAACAGACCAACAACATGTTATGAAACTGAGGCTGTAATAAATAGCCTAACAACTAAAAAAAGCCCAGGAAGAGACAGATTTACAGCTGAATTCTACCAGAAGAACCAAGAGGAGCTGATACCATTTATTCTGAAACTATTCCAAACAACTAAAAAGGAAGGACTCTTCCCTAACTCATTCTGTGTAGCCAGCATGAACCTGATAAAACCTGGTAGAGATAAAACAAATTAAGAAAACTTCAGGCGAATATCCCTGATGAACATTGAAACAAAAATCCTCAATAAAATACTGGAAATTGAATCCAGCAGCACATCAAAAGCCTATCCACCACGATCAAGTCAACTTCATCCCTGGAATTAAGGCTCCTTGGAGAAATGGTAATTTCAGGACTTGGGCCGGAAAGCTATAAAATGAGTCTGAAAAACCTCACAAGGGAATAAGAAAGATCTCAAAACATGATAACAATAAAAATAACAATATTTTTAAAATATAATGACAATAAAAAAAGCACATATCATAAGAAGAGAATGCATTTAAAGTAATAATCAAATAAGCTTTCATAGCAGTAAAGACTTTTATCAATAAGATATTTTAAATAAATTCTCATCTAAAAATTAAAAAAAGAAAATCATAGTGATAAAAGCAGAAATCAATGAAGTAGAGAACAGAATATTACAGTTAAATCAAAATCCTGCATTTTCAAATAAACAAAATGGATGAACTAGTAGCTAACATCATCAAGAAGAAAAGGAAAAAGCACAAATATAAGAAAGGTCAAAAAGAAAATGACAATTGAAACAGAAGATAGTTTTTAAAATGTAAGAGAAAAATGTGTAGCCCCTCTACAAATAAATATAAAAACTCCATAAAATAATTTTCTACTTAATACAGATTAGCAAAATTTGGTTTCATTAGACCTATAAACTTAAAGAGACCATTTTCCACAGAAGAAATAGTTATTAATATTAAGCAACTACTTCCTTCTAAACAGCAGACACAGAACTTTTCATATGGAATTTCTATCACACTTTCAAAGAACTGATAGCCACTGTGCTTTAGAAAAATTTCGAAGTGCTGAAAATGAAATGAAAACTCCTTAATTCTTGCCATGAAACAGGAAACATTGGCACCTAAACCAAAAAGAAAAATTTAAAAACTCATGCCATTGCTCATGAATATTTTGAGTTTTAGCACAAATACATTAAAATGGCATTGGCAAACAAAATCTAACACCACATTAAAACACACACACACACACACACACACACACACACACACACACACAATGACTTAATGAGATATTTTTTCCTCTCAGGAATACAAGCTTAGCTCAATATTAAGATATTGCTTAATGTAATGCAACATATCAATAGATATAAAGCAAAAATCATATGATTATCTATACCGATGCTAAAACTCCTTTACCATAACTTAACACCTGCTCAAAATAAAGCACTCAAAGATAAGAATTGTGATGTACTCTTTTTATACGGTAAAATACATGTACCTTTGTCCTAAAGCTAGTATCTTGATGTTGAAACACTACAGGATTTTTACTAACATCTGGAACATGGCAAGAGTTGCCACTATCATTACTACTGTTCAAAAATGCACTGGAATTAGTATCCAATGCAATTAGACAAAAAAATCATTTGGACACATAGGATGAGTATAGAAATAAGACTTTATGTGCAGAGAATATGATGGTGTACATGAAGAAGTCTAAATAATTTTATTAGTCCACGTTTCCCAGAAAAACACAAGTAGTAGTATACTATATATATACTATAATTGTGTGAACCAATTCCACTACTATAATCGTGTGAACCATTACTCTACAATTCACAATTATGGAGTCTGAGAAGTCCCATGATCTGCCATTTACAAGCTGGAGGCCCAGGAAATCCAGTGGTGTAGTATAATTCGGTCTGCGCCTGAAGGAACAAACACCAGAGAACCAAGTGAGCCAATGGTGTAAATCTCAGTCTGAGTACTAGAGACAATGAGGCAAAATGTTTCCATTCAAGCAGGCAGTCAGTAAGGGGTGAATTCTTTCTTCTTCTACCTTTTGTTCTCTTCAAGTCCTCAGTAGACTGGACGATACATTCTGGAGATCAATCTACTGAGTCTATGGATTCAAATGCTAGCACCCTCCTGAAACACCCTCAAAGACACATCCCATAATAATGTTTAATCTAGTTACTCTGTAGTAAGTCAAGTTGACACATAAAATTAACCAACACAATAATCAATAATAATACTAAAACAATAAAATAATAAATCAGTAGTACTTAAAATTAATGTACAATTAACATTAAATAGTTTTTATATACACCCCAAAATAGCCAATTAGATGATATAATAGTGGAGAAAACCACATATAAAATAGCAACAAAAAAGATTAATACTTAGGAATAAACAACATGAAATGTAAAAAACTACAGTATATGATAAAAATGTTACAATGCTACTGAAAGATAAAGTATTTTGAGCAAATGGAAAGGTATCACCTGTAATTGGATTGGATGTCTCAAAATTATGAAGATATTAATTGTGTCTAGATTAATATATAGATTTAATGTAATCCCAATATATATGCCAACAAGCTCTTTAATGGATTTTGAAATGTTGATATTGTTAGGGAGGACTAGCCCTGCCAGGCATTTTAAAAATTCTATATAGTTCAAAGTGTGATAATAACAGATGACAATTTGGCAAGTGAAATAAAATAGAAAGCCCACATATACACCCAAGTATATATGGAAATTTAGTGCTTTGCAAATCTCTGAGGCAAATGATGACGTCTTAATAAATGGTGCTAGGATAACTAAGTAGCCATTTGGAAAATGGTAAAAGTTGATTCATACTTCAAACATACACAAGGAAAAACTCCAAAGGGTTAGATAACTAAATATAAAAAATGAAAACCCAGAAGTACTACAAAAAGACATGGGTGAATTCCTCAACAAATGTTGCTGGATTAACAGGTTATACCTACAGACAAAAATGAACTTCAACCTAGGTTTCACAACTTGGACAAATATGAACTCAAAATGGATTTGGTAATTATATGTAAAATGTAAAATTGTAAAACTTTTTAAAAATTAGAAACATTCAAAATCCAGGTCTAGGTAGAGTTTTTAGAGGTAACATCAAGTATAATTACATAGATACATTGAAAGTAAAAATAAAAAAATTAAAAAGAAGACATATCAGGCAAACCTCAATTTTGAAAAAAGCAGAACTGACTATAGTAGTTTAAGACAAAATAGATTTCATGAAAAGAAATGTACTAGGAACAAAGAGGGGCATTATGCAGTGACAGAATTATCGACCCACCAGGAAAATGTAGTAATACTAAATATGTATGTAGCAAACAACTAGAACTTCAAATTCTTGAAGGAAAACCTGATAGTATTAAAAGGAGAAAGAGACAAATCCACAATTATATTTGGGATTTTCAGCACTGAATGTTCCATAATTGATAAATCTACTGAACTGAATATGAGAAAATATTTAGAAGAACTGAGCATCACCATCAAACAGCAGGATTTAGTTGATGCTCACTGGTCAATCCACTCAATAACAGTAAGTTAGACATTATCTTGGATCATAAAGCAAACTTCACCAAATTTAAAATCATAGAAATCATACAGTGACTGGTTTCAGAATATAAAGAAATTGAACTCAAAATCAATAATGGAAAGAAAATACAAAAGTTTTCACACACTTGAAATTCAAATAACTTATTTCTAAATAATCTGTAGTTACAAGTCAAACATTAAATGAATAAAATATACATAGAACTGGATGAAAGTTAAAATGCAAAATGTTAAAATATGTGATATGTAGATAACATGCAAGGGAAACTTATAGCTTTAAATGCTTACATTATAAAAGAAGAACACTCAAATCAATAATCTAAGTTTCCACCTGAAGAAACCAGAAAAACAAGCACAAAAATAAATCCAAAGCTAGCAGTAGGAAGGAAATAGTAAAGATAAGAGCAAATATAAATGAAATTGAAAATAGAAAAATAATGAAAAAATGGGAAAAAATACTAGACATGCAAACATAATTAAATCAGTCAGGCACGGTGGCCTACACCTGTAATTTCAGTACTCTGGGAGGCCAGAGCAGATGGGTTGCTTGAGCCCAGGAGTTTGAGACCAGCCTGGGCAACATTGCAAAACACTCTTTCTACCAAAAATACAAAAATTAGCCAGGCATGGTGGCATGCACCTGTAGTCCCAGCTACTCAGGGGGCTGCCAGGCAGGCAAAGGGGGAAGACTCCCTTGAGCCCATGAGGTCAACACTACAATGAGCCATGATCACACCACTGCACTCCAGCCTGTGTGACAGAGTGAGACTCTGAAATAAATAAATAAATAAATAAATAAATAAATAAATAAATAAATTTTTAATAAATCTGTAGCAATACCACAAAAGATAAAACAGAAAGAAAACTCAGGTGGGGCGCGGTGGCTCACGCCTGTAATCCCAGCACTTTGGGAGGTTGAGGTGCGCAGATCACTTGAGGTCAGGAGTTCTAGACCAGCCTGACCAATATGGTGAAGCCCAGTCTCTACTAAACAAACAAAAAATAGCCAGGCGTGGTGGTGGATGCCTATAATCCCAGCTACTTGGGAGGCTGAGGCAGGAGAATTGTTTGAACCCGGGAGGTGGAGGCAGAGGTGCAGTCAGATGTGGAGGCAGAGGCTGAGGTGGAGGCAGAGGCCGAGGCAGAGGCTGCAGTGAGCCGAGATTGTGCCACTGCACTCTGGGTGACAGAGGGAGACTCCATCAAAAGAAGAGAAAAGAAAGAAAAGAAAATAAAAGAAAACAAAAGAAAAGAAGAAAAGAAAAGAGAGAAAGAGAGAGAAAAAGGAAGGAAGGAAAGAAGGAAGGAAGGTAGGAAGGAAGGAAGGAAAGAAGGGAGAAAGAAAGAAAAAGAGAGAAAAAAGAAAGAAAGGAAGAAAGGAAGGAAGAAAGGAAGGAAGGAAGGAAGGAAGGAAGGAAGGAGGGAAGGGAGAGACAAGCCTGTAATCACCAAATAAGAACGTGACAGTTGATATCATAACAGATCCTACAGTCATTAAAAGAATAAAAAGGGAAAGGTGGATAATAAAGAAGTACTACAAATAAAATTATGCTCATAAATTTATCAACTTTGAAAAAAAAGACCAATTCCTCAAATGCCACAAAGTAATATAACTCAGCTAAGATAACATATATAACTTGAAGAGCCTTATAACATTTAAATGAGATAAATTTATAATTAAAGATCTCCCAAATAAGAAAGGTTCAGGCACAAATGAATTCACAGAATTTTACCAAACATTTAAAGAAGAATCAACATCAGATTTACATAATCTTTTTCAGAAAATAAAAGAGGAAGGAACACTTCTCCCCAGCTCATTTTTGAAGCCAGTTTTACCCTAATAGTACTGTAAGACAAACAGCGTTAAAACATTGAAAACTACAAACGAATATCTCTCATAATCTTAGATGCAAAAATTCACATCAACATTTTAGCAAATAAAATCTGGCGATGTATAAAAGCATATTGTATCACATTGTACAGATAGAGAATAGGTCAGTCATTGCCAAGCATTAAGGATGGTAGATAGGGTGAATTTGGCTAGAAAGGGATACAAGGGAGTTTAATGATGATGGCATAACTCAGTGTGATTATGGCTGTGGCTACATGAAACTGCACATGTGACAAGCTTGTGTAGAATTATACGCTCACATAAACACACAAATGATTGCATGCATCATTGGTGAAATCTGAATGAGCTCTACGAATTGTACCAATGTAAATTTCCTGGTTTTGATATTGTACTATAATTATGAAAGACATTAACTTTGGGATAGATTGGTAATGGGTGCAGGGGACCTCCCTGTACATGTCTTTGAATCTTCTTTTAAATCTATATTTATTTCAAAATAAAAGAATTTAAAGGAGTGGTATGGAATGATTTATATATTATTAAGAAAATAAGCAAAATGCTAAAAAAAAATCTACAGTATACTATCCTTGCTGTAAAAATGATGAAGACATGAGAAAGAAATACATGTTTTTGCTTAGGTTTGAAAAAGACATACAGAAGAGATTAACCAAAAGCTAATGAGTTTGGAAACAGAGTTGAATGAGTAGATAATGAGAACAAGTTATTGGAAAAGATGAAAAGGTTAGTAGGTATGAAGAGTGAGCGGCATTACTCTCAGTGTACCGTTTTTATAGCTGTGATTATTAAAATCATAGTTATGTTTCACATACTGCCCCAAAATTAATATATAATGTTCACCATTGGGAGACAATGAAAAATGGATGACAAACAATAACAAACAAAGCTACCTATATTAAAATAAATGGCATTATCATGCGGAACATGGTAGAGAAGAAAATAACTATCTTAAATAATTTTGGGAAAGAGGGTTGTAACAATATATTTTAATAATAAAGGCAAAAAGAATTTACATAATTATTGAACTCTACACAGTAAGTGTGTTTATCACAGGATATGGGTTAAAATTATGTTATGTTTAAACTTATAATTGAATAAATATATATACTACGAGTAACAATAGCCAGATTTCTAACTATCGAAAAAAAAGGACTTACAAATAAGGCCAGAGGGAAAGCAAGAATAAACTCTGTATTTTAGACTGGGATCCCAGGTATCAGTATGGTTTTTAACATAGAGTCAGATGCATGCATATCAAAATGATTATAAACGTATTTATTTGTATATCAGTATACATATGTGTACTTTCTAGCTCTGTTTGCTTATGGGGCCTAGAAATAACGATGCTCTGGTAGCAATGAGCATACCTAACACTCAAATGTTAATTCTAAATATCATTATCTAACAGGAAAAAAAAGCAAGGCTCCTTGGAGAAATGGTAATTTCAGGACTTGGGCCGGAAACCTATAAAATGAGTCTGGAAAACCTCACAAGAGAATAAGAAAGAACTCAAAAAATGATAAGGCTTATTAAAACAACATAAAAAAGTAATAAAAGCTATAATAATAACATCAGGTTATAACCTATAGAATAAAATAAAATAAATATTCATGAGTCCAAACAGATAGAGACAAAAATGTAATGAATAAATAAATATACGAGGGGGGATTGATAAGTCTTCCTGGAGGTAAGAATTCCAATTCGTAACTGTGGAATGAATGATGGAAATAAAACATTATCATTAGAATACCAAAGTCATTGTTGCATACGAGAATCACCAATGGATGCTAAAATCAGTGACAGAAAGTACGGTGAGAAACAGGATATTTGCATAGTCTCAATCATTTTTCTACAATATTTGCATAGACTACAAAGATGAATGACTTTACAGGGTAGAAATCTGGCTGATATCTTTTGTAACAAAATGATTAAAGTGAATATGGCCACTAATAAGGCATATAAAAATCAATGTCCCCTGATTAGATGCACTAAGATGGGTCTATCACCTCTGTAGTGTTCTCGCAAAAGCTATGTTACCTTAATCTAATCCTGAGTAAATATCAAACAAACCTAAATTGAGAAAATTTCCTTCAAAAAATGACCAGAATTCTTCAAAAATGCCAAGGTTATAAGTGACAAGGAAAAACTGAAGAATTGTCACAATCCAGAAGAGGCTAAGGAGACGTGGCAACCACTGTGCAATGTGAGATAATGAATTGGATCCTGAACAGAAGAGGAATATTCATATGAACAATAGTGGAATTTGAATAATGTTTACAGATATGTTAACAGTATTGTATCAATATTATGTTCTGGTTTCTGTAATTGTACCATTATTATATACGATGATTACATTAGGAAAAGCCAGGCGAACGTGTTTGGGAATTCTCTGTACCATTTTGGAAAATTTTCTGTAAGTCCAAAATAATTTTAAAATTTAAAAAGTCTGAAAAAATCTAAAGACAATTTACATAACGGGAAGAAATTTTGACAAAATATATAACAAACACCATATCCATATAGAGAGATCATCTTCAACATAAGAAAGAAAAGGCACATTATCTAAAAGATGAGCAAAGGTGGATATAGGCAATTCAGAGCAGAGGAAATGCAAATAGCCAATTAGCATATAACAAGATCCTCAATCTCACTAGTAACAAAGGACTGCAAATCAAAATGATAAAGTGCAATTTTTTATCTAGCAGACTAAATACATATATAAATTAACAAGGCCAGCATTACTGAAGTTATGAGACAGTGGGAAATTTCACTATTTTTGCTGGGATTATTTAATGCCTCATCCACATTGCAGTGACATTTAACAATGCCATTCAATATTTTAAATGTACATACTCTGACCCAGCAATTAGACTTCTGATAAATAATTTTATACAATATGCTCATTAGTACACATTAGTTGGTTATAGGAAAAACTGGCTATAATTTGTTTTTCCAAATGTCCAGTGTTATAGAACTAGTAACATAATCAGCTGTTAAAAATGAGAAAAATGGGCCGGGCGCGGTGGCTCCTGCCTGTAATCCCAGTACTTTGGAAGGCCGAGGTGGGCGGATCACGAGGTCAGGAGATCAAGACCATCCTGGGTAACACGGTGAAACCTCGTCTTTACTAAAAATAGAAAAAACTAGCTGGGCTTGGTGGTGGGCACCTGTAGTCCCACCTACTCAGGAGGCTGAGGCGTGAATCCAGGAGGCGGAGCTTGCAGTGAGCCGAGAGGGCACCACTGCACTCCAGCCTCGGTGACAGAGTGAGACTCTGTCTCAAAAAAAATACATAAATTAATTAATTAATTAAAATGAGAAAATGTAAACCCATATATTTGGGCAGTGGATTATATCCATGATATTGCTGGGTAACAAAAACAAGTTTAGAGAATATTTAAAATATAAAACTATTCCTCTAAAAATACTGTGAGTGTATGTGTGTGTGTGCATACACACGTATAAAAGCATACTGGTAGAAACAGGGTCTGCAAGCATGCATATTTAAAAATGTTAACAGTGTTTATTCCTGTGGAGTAGAATTAGAAATGGATGAATTTCTATTTTTTGCTATGTATTTGAAAATTTTGGATTTTCAGCAAGAAGCATGTATTACTTTTGAAAAAAAATAAAAATGTATGTATCTTATACGTCTGAATCTTGTTCTTTGAGGCTAACCAAACTGATACACTATTTGATGTAAAATCTGTGACACTGATATTAATAGATCACTATGTTTACCCACTCTAGGATTATATGTATTCTTTTACACAGTGTGACTTGATTATAACATCGGGAGTTTCAGTATACATGAAAAAAAGATTTTAAAAGAAGATATTTTGGGAAATGGTTAAAACTGATTATAAAGGTAGCCATTTACTCTATATTTACAAACTTCTCTGATACGATCTTCGATTCATTTTTTTTTTACTTTCCACCTACTTCTGCAATTCTTTCTGCCACTTTTCCTTTCCCAAGCATTGACCAGATAATGAATAAAAACTTGATGTCAATTTACAAAATTTCCCACAAAATTTGATGTGAACTTGAGGTTCATTAATACTAAATGAATACTCAGTCAACTTCCAGAACCTTATGGTAATAACAATGAAATCCATTAGCTAATAGATATTGAATGAACTACAGCTTTAATAAGATTATGTATCTGTTTATGAACATGAAACTTTTGTAACTTGAATAATTGTTGCGTTTATGAATCTCCATGTGTGACTGGGATTGTATTAATAATTGATTTCAAATAATGTGCTACTAACTCTGAAGACTTTTAGATTTTTGCAATTTTTGTTGTTCAGATTAAACATGTTATATTCATTAATGTTACTTTGCAACTTATTTTTACTAACTTTAATATTACACTTTTAAAAGACTATTTTAATAGTAAAGCCACTTAGTAGTAGTGTCAACTTTTAGTGGGTAGTGCCTGGAAGGAGATACATGGAGGTCTTACAGGGTTCTAATAATGTTCTGTATCTTTATATAAGTACTTGTTCACACGGATATGTGAAATTTGTGAATATTCATAAACAGAATGCTTATAATTGTACTAAGATAGTAAGTATGCTTTTTATACACTGATATAGAAATATTCCATGAAATTATTATATGACAGAGAAAGATACAGAATAATGTGTATAAAAACTAAACTTACGTAAAGAAATAGAAAGCAACAAAAATACAGTATCAATGATATTATACTTGTATATGCATAAATAAATTGTGGAAGAATACCCCAACCTAATAATACTGATGGCCTCTAGGAGAGCAACTGGATATCTGGTGATTAGGGGTTGGCAAGGAGAACTTTTAGTATGTTCTATTTTTCATCATTTAAAATGTGAATCATGAATTTGTTACCTATTGCAAAATAACTAACATTTTAAAATAAGAAATATGAAGGCTGAAGAAACAGTAAAATGAAAAGGTACAGGTTTATTTTATTTTGTACTGTTTACCCTTTGTTTGACTTCCCTTTTCCTTCTCTTTCTCTTTCTCCTTACAATCTTTCTCTTCTGTTTGCTCTTCTTTCTCTTGTCTCTCTTATCCTCTACTTCACACAAGTTCTCAATCTTGCTGTTGTTGAAGAAAAGCAGATGTCTGGTCTTTAACATCAGATAAAATGTTGATAAAAACCCTTGCAAGTCACTATCAAGAAACAGAGGGTGTAACTTTAGACTATTAGAAGGGTGGAGGGCAATTTGCATATATATATATAGCTTCTCTAAACAACATTGACTAGTGACAACTAGTTTGACAACTGGTTTCACAAGTTCAAGCCAAACTTTTAGACATAATAGCTACAATTTCTGGTAAAAAGCTTCACATGTAAAAGTTGTGTTTTATAACAAAAACAAAGCTTCAAGATGTTCTAATTCCTTAGCCTAATTGCTCTTGTGCATATTTAAGCCAAGGGTTTCATCAACAAATTCAATCTCAAGTCTTTAGTTTCAATTAATACTGACCCATAAAGAGTTAATTTTCATGCATTATTTATAATGGCCTTACCATGCAAACACATAAAAATATTAGTTACATCAAGGACCAACCTCTACTAATAGTCCACTACTGTATCATGCTTTGCATTTCCAGTATTTTTTGTTTGGTTGAAGTAAGCATCCACATAGAACAGCAATAATACTTCTGCCATTCAGTTATTGATTTTTTTTTTTTTAGATAACTTGTGAGTGCTTTCTGCTTTAATATTTTTGATCTGTAAAGTCCCAGAATTATTGTAACCTACTAGCTGATTCGTAAGAATTTGTTTGGAAAAAAATTATTATATGTTGTTGAGTGAACATATTTCAATGTTACATTTTAAAAAAAAAATACAAAATTCTAAGAAAAACATCCCTTCATATAAATATGAATGAAAAACAGGACAAGAACTCATTAACTGGGTAGTATAAAGGTCGATATGTTCTAAGTAAGTAACATTCTGCTATTTAAAGACAAAAATTACCCTGAGTTTTGCTTAAGCTATTTGAGAAGACAAGACCAAAATTCACAAATTGTAGTTTTCTTGTTTGTAGAAAAATGTGGTAGGAAATTTCTTCAGAAGATAAACCTTTGTTATTATCTCTAACATAAAAATATCATTTTTTCCTGGTTTACAATTTTGAGGAAACTTTTTCATTATAGATTTTACATGTAAATTTATGGATGTCTAATTACTATGTTTTAAAAATAAGAAATGATTAAAGCCCTAAAAACAAATTGTGGTGTTTAAGAAAACTCAAGTTAAATTAATTACACAATATCATGGACATTATTCTTTGACTTCTACTGGTCAAGATCATATTTAAAAAGATAAATACACAAATATATATACCCCCTCCAAATGCTTTCATCAATTGACATTTTGGTGTGTTAAAATACCTCTCACCAATGTAATACACTTTAATAGATTAGTATAAATTTATCAGATTTCAACTCATCAGGTAAAAAATATAGCCTGTTTAAGAAAATCTTAAATATATATATGGTCAAAATACCTGGTCAAATTTGAAACAGTTTTAAAACAATAATACATAAATGTCATTTTTTATTTGTTAGCTATTTTAATAAAAATTTTAAAAAATCTTATATACCATATTCTCATCCACTCTGGTAAATGATGTGTAAATAAAAACTATGTGTAATGATTATTGTAATTTTCAGGTAAAGTGAATCAACCATTCTTTGTTTTCTAAGCTTTACTAAATTTGAAATAGGATTTATGTTTGAATAATCTCACTAGGCCATTAAGTTATAAAGAATAATACACAAAACACTTTGGGAGGCTGAGGCAGGCAGATCACTTGTGCTGAGGAGTTCAAGACCACCCTGGACATCATAGGAAGACCTTATCTCTACAAAAAATAAAAATAAAAATAAATTAGCTGGGCATAGTGGCATGCACCTGTAGTCACAGCTACTTGGCTACTCGGGAAGCTGAGGTAAGAGGATAGCTTGAGCCCAGGAGGTGGAGGTACAGTGAGCCTAGATGGCACCACTGCACTGCAGCCTAGACGACCGTGGGAGACACTGTCTCAAAAAAGAAGAGGAGTTATTAAAAAAAAAGTTGCCATTATAAATATGCTTTTTGTCAATTCTTGTACACTTTGTTCTTTATTATATTGAGGTCTGACTTTTTTCCCTTATTTTTTGTATCTAGTTTATTTTTTCTTGATGGAAAATAACATGATGCAAAAGGTGTTTTAACATGTAAAAGACATTTTAATATAGCAGAATCAACAAGTAGCACCTTAGTGGCCTGAAAAAAAATTGATTCTTGAAGTGTATTACTCTGATAAATTTGAAATAAATATATACATAGGCTGATAATAACATTGGTAGGTTATAATATGTAATTGTTTACATGAAAAATGCAACTGAATGTCACTAATCTGTGTTTAATTATGGACCAATCCAAAACCCTTACCTGATCCTAATGGAAAAACTCATAACTATTATATAGGTCTGGAGCTGGCCTCACAAGCATGCAACTTGTTCCCTTATACAGGCACTAGGCTTAAAAGGATTCAGCACTTTAATGCACTTGTTGTCCGGAAATTCTGAATGATTTTTTAACAACAGACTCCACATTTTGCATTTTGTATTGGACCCCCAAACCATGTAATCAATCATTTATATGTCCAAAGGGTCAAAGGCCATAAATCTAGACCAGAATGACTAACTAAGATTACCTACATAGCAAGCCAGGATTACACAAAAATCCAGGATAATCAAGGAAGTTCTAAAAGAAACAAAGAAGGTAAGCTAGGAGAAATGATCAGAAAAAGGATTTTAGGAATTGTAGGAGCTATCCTTTCTTGAAAATATTAGGGTGAATTTAACCCGAAATGAATTATACTAATATTAATATATGTAAAACTGGAATCAAATTTCTTCTTATGTGTTCCAGTTTGAATTGCTGAAATTGATACAGATCTTTAGTCACTCAAATAGAGATGCTTTAATAAGCTATGGAATGTTAAAGAAGTTTCCAGTAACATCAAATTGTTCAGCATATATTCACACCAATGATCTTTGTGTTTGTGGGTTGTTTCTTTTGGTTGGCAACAAGTTTTGGTATATGGATCATAATAAGTTACAGCCAAGGACTTTCTTCATGTTTGAAATGCATACCTTACAATTTACAGTGGTTTTACTATGAAATGAATCAATTGATAGCTTTAAATTTGCTTTCACAAATACTGGTGGCTTTCTCAACATTGTATTTAACATAGAAAGTTGTCCTTGTATACAAAACCAATAGAATAATTTCCAATCTATGCCATAACTAGTAAAATACATTCATATTAGAAATGAACACAATCTACTTAAACTCTGAACCTGAGTGTCCTCAGATGAAAATGATAACAATCTGTAACTCACAATGCCTAGAACAGCATGACACTTTTAAATGGTAGGTCTTGCAACTATTTCAAAATTCTATATTATTCTAGGTTGTTTGTATATGAAAAATTCCACTTTACCAATTAAAAGTTCATTTCAACCTGAAGGGTTCAAGGTTTTACATCAAATGTAAAGCACTTTGCTTGCACCTTGTATTTATTCTTAAATACAACCCGTTGTATAAAAAATTAAATTTTAAAAAGTGTGGGGAGAAATGGAGCATAAATAATTTTATACATTTGTTTGAAAAGTTGTCTAATGCAATCGGAAATACATGGTGTCATTTTTCAAGCTTCAAAACACATTGAAACCTGGTAAATGCTAATTTGAGAAAATAAAATTTCCAGCCTGAGTTTCAAGTTCCAATTAGAGTTGCAAAACATGAGTTCTGAATGACTGCAAAAGTAGGGCGAATATTAATGTCAAACTTCCATCAGGATTGCTTGCATAGCATAGACTTTTATTTATTTGTAATAGCATACCAAGGAAATCACCTGAGATAGAACACAAGCAAATCTCTTTAAAGACAATGGATTTGCAAGTATATATCTAATGACTAATTTTAGTAAAGTTTTTCTAAGCTTTTCTGAGAAAAATATGAACAAAGCTGTATTAGAAAGCATTAAAATATGTTAAATATTGCAAACAACTTAGGCCAATAAATGTAGAGAAAATATTTTTTATTAATAATAATATGAGTTGAGTGATTTTATTCAAAGCTGTGAAAAAGCTATTTTAATCGGGAAATTTAATACACCCAACATTATTTTATTCCTCTGTTACTAGATTAGTTTTTCCTTCTTTTTTTTCCTCCTTGGATCCAGGAAGAGAGTACGTATGTGCCATTCTAGCCATTAGTGAAAAAAGCATGAAGCCTATATAACCTTTCCATCAGCATTCTTCCCTTCCAAAAGAATTGCCATCACATTTAGCCCAGATTTGCAAAATATGTAGTGATTTGTTTTCAGGCATTGTGGGTAGCTAGTTAACCTCATGTCAGGTTGTTGGAGAACTCTTCCATCCTCTTACACTCATGCACATGTACACATACATAACATGCAAACGCACAGGGCAACTTGAAAATGAAATTATTCTATCAACAAATCTTATCTTAAATATGAATTGCTACATCCTCGAAAGAATTTAAGACTTTCATTTAAGGTGTTGAGAATCTTCCCACATACTTCTCCACACATGGGGGAACAGAAAGAAAGTCTTTCTCATTCTGTTCTTCAGTCAGTTTTCTAGCAGGCCCTATTGTCAGTGTCCTTTGCCATACAATGGTTTGGCATGTAGTTGCTGAGGAGGAAATGAAAGATATAGAAAGAAATAACATGGTTAAGAGTTCTGGGACTCTTCGGCAGGGCACGGTGGCTCACGCCTGTAATCCCAGCATTTTGGGAGGCCGAGGCAGGCGGATCACGAGGTCAGGAGTTCGAGACCATCCTGGCTAACACGGTGAAACCCCATCTTTACTAAAAATACAAAAAAATTAGCCAGGCGTGGTGGCGGGCGCCTGTAGTCCCAACTACTCAGGAGGCTGAGGCAGGAAAACAGCGTGAACCCGGGAGGCGGAGCTTGCAGTGAGCCGAGATGGCACCACTGCACTCCAGCCTGGGAGACAGAGAGAGGCTCCGTCTCCCCAAAAAAAAAAAAAAAAAAGAGTTCTGGGACTCTTCATGCTTTCGGAAAGTATTGGGAAAGTTCCCTACTGTCAAAAATGCTAGAGTAATTTTTATTTAGCAATTCATTCACATAAATATTTCAAGAATTTTGTATAAAACTGTTGTGAAATTATCCCCGAGAAAATTAACTCTCCAAATGGGAGGTACACATATGAATGCATAGCCAAGAAATAATGAAGTGTGTGGCTGTTTTTACTAGTTCACAAGTGCACTGAGAACACCAGTGTTATAAAACCCAAAGTTAACAGCTTCAATAGTAGAAAGGCCCAAATCCCACAACATGAATATCAATTTTTTCTTGCTAAATAAGCAAAGTTAATTGTGTAAATATTCATTATATTTTTGAGAGAGTATTGAAGATATTTCCATAGTTTGTAAATCAACAGTGCACATGAGCCTTTTACTAATCCTGTTTCTGATATTAATATAGCCTTGGAAATGATTTTATATTTATTTTTTCATAGAATTTCTTTTTCCACCTTTTTACTATCACCTATTAGTACCATCATGCTTAAATTACAACATATAAACAGAATATATTTAGTTGGGTCTGCTTTTGTATTTAATGTTGTCTGATATTAAACTTTATTTCTGCTTTTCCAAATATATATTAGAAGATAATTTTCATCTGTTTGTTGCATGGTTGGTTAAATTTTTAAACAGAGGAAGACAAAAGAAGCACAATTTCTGTTTCTTAATTTGTTCTATGATTTTTAAAAATAAATATTACTGTGTATATATAAAGTATATGACATTATGTTATGGGATACATATAGATAGTTTTAAAAGGTAACTTTAGTGAGGCAAATGACATTTCAATCATTTCACATAGTTACCCATTATCTTTTTTTTTGTTTTCGTGTCAAGAGCAGATAAAACCTACTCATTTATTATGAATCCCACATACAATACAGTTTTATCACCAGTACTCCTCATGTTGCACATTAGATTTTAAACTTGTTAATCCTACATAATTCCTACTTTGTATCCTCTGGCCCACATCTCCCCATTTCTTCATCTCTGTGTATTTGAATTTGTTTTTAGATTTCACATATTAGTAAGATAATGAAATATTTTTCATTCTGTATCTGGCTTATTTAACTTAGAATAATGTCCTCCAGGCTCATCCATGCTGTGGCAAATGGTAATTTTTTTTTCTGTTTAAGTGTAAAATAATATTCCATTGTGTATATGTGATGCAGTTTCTTTATCCATTTATTCATTGATGAACACTTAGGTTTATTCCATACATCAGTTATTGTAAAAAAGCTGCAATAAACATGAGATTGCAGGTGTCTTTATTATGTAATGATTTTGTTTCCTTTGGATATATGCCAAGAAGAGTGATTGCTGGGTATTATGGCTATGTTTAGAAACCTCCATACTGTTTTCCATAATGGCTGTACCAATCTATATTCTCCCCAGCAATGTATGAGAATTCCCTTTTTTCCACACCCTCACCAACATTTGCTGTCTTTTGACATTTTAATAGTAGCCATCCTAATGAGTGTGAAGTGGTATCTCATAGTGATTTTGATTTGCATTTCCCTGATAATTAATGATGTTTAGTACTTTTTAAAATGCCTGTTGGCTATTTTTATGTCTGTTTTGGGAAAATATCTATTCAGGTCTTTTCCCATTCTATAAAATTGAGTGATTTGTTTTTCCACTATTGAGTTTTATGAGTTATATGTAAATTTTGGATATTATTCCTTTATCATATATGTGGATTGCAAATATATTTTTCCCAATCTATAGTTTTCCATGTCATTTTTTGAGTATTTCCTCTGCTATGCAGAAGGTTTTTGGTTTGATATAGTTCCATTTAGAAAAATACAACCTATTAAGATTGAATCAGGGAAAAAGAGAAAACCTGAACAGACCAATAACAAATAAAGATATTGAAGAAGTAATCAAAAAAACTCTTGACAAAGAAAAGCTCAGAACCAAATGGCTTCACAGCTGAATTTTACCAAACATTCAAAGAACATTCAAGCATTCAAAGTATAATAACAGTACTACTTAAATATTCCAAAAAATAGAGCTAGAGAGCATAATTTCAAACAGATTTTAGCAGGCTAATATCACTTTGATATCCTAGCCAGACAAAGATATTACACACACACACACACACACACACACACACACACACACACTCTCTCTCTCTTTCTCTCTCACACACACACACACATAAAATTTAGGCCAATTTCTCTGAGAAACATTGATGCAAATATTCTCAATAAAATATTACCAAACCAAATTCAACAACACATCAAAAAAATTGCATATTGTGACCAGGTGGAATTTATTCCTGGTATTCAAGAGTGGTTTAACATATGTAATCAATTCATGGGATATACCACGTTAACAGAATGAAAGACACAAACCACATGATCATCTCAATTGACATGAAAAAAGCATTCAATAAAGTCCACCACTCTATTGTTAAAAACTCTGAACAATTTAAGTATAGAAGAAACTTCTTCAATAAAATAAAAGCCAATTATGAAAACACACAGATAATATTCTAACTAATGGAGAAAAACCTGAAGTCTTCTCCATTATGATTCAGTACAAAGCAAGAATGCCAACTGTCATTACTTCTATTCAACATAATACTGGAAGTACTAGCAAGAACAATCACATGAGAAAAAGACAGAAAAGGCATCAAAACTGAAAAGAAAGAAGCAAAATTATCTCTTTTTGCAGATGGCATAATTTTATATATAAAAAATGAAAAACAAATCACATAAAAATTCTTAGAACTAATAACAAATGTTACAGTGTTGCAAGATACAAAATCATATAAAAATCAGTAGCATTTTAATAAATACATAATAATCTAACTGAAAAATAAGTCAAGAAAACAATCTCATTTATGATAGCATATGAAAAAAAATACCTAGGAATAAATTCAATCCAAGAGGTAAAAGATCTCTAGATTGAAAACCTCAAAGCACTGATGAAAAAATTCAAGACACAAATAAATGGAAATATATTCCATGTTCATGCACTGGAAGAATTAGCATTTTAAAAATGTCTATATTACTCAAAACTATATGCAGAAACAATGCAATACCTACTAAAATCCCACTGACATCCTGTTTTACTTCATTCTCACACTGCTATAAAGAAATACCTGCAACTGCATAATTTATAAAGAAAAGAAGTTTAACTGCCTCATGGTTCTACAGGCTGTACAGGAAGCATAGCAGCTTCTGCTTCTGGGGATGCCTCAGGAAACTTACAATTATCGGGGAAGGTGAAAGGGAAGCAGGTACATTTTACATGGCCTGAGCAGGAGAAAGAGAGAGAGAAGTGGGAGGTACTACACACTTTTAAACAACCAGATATCATGATAACTCACTCACTCACTATCACGAGAACAGCACTGATGGAATGGTTCTAACCCATTTATGAGAACGCTACCCCCATAATCCAATCACTCCCCCCAAACCCCACTTCCAACATTGGTGATTATGATTCAACATGAGATGTGGGTGGGAACAAAGATCCAAACTATATCAATCCACCCCCAGCCCCTCCCAAATTTTATGTCCCTCTCACATTTCAAAATACAGTAATGCCTTCCCAACAGTCCACCAAAGTCTTACCTCATTCCAGCATTAACTCCGAAGTCCAAAATCAAAGGTCTCATCTGAGACAAGGCAAGTCTCTTCTACCCATAAGCCTGTAAAGTAGAAAAAAGTTAGTTACTTTCAAGATACAATGGGATAAATACTTTCAATCTAAATGACAGACATTCTTGGCCAGTAGAAAGAAGCTACAGGCCCCATGCAAGTCTGAAAACCAGCAGAGCAGTCATTAAACTTTACAGCTCCAAAATAATATCTTTTTATTTCATGTCCCACATCCAGGGCACACAGATGCAATGCTTGGGTTTCCAAGGCCTTGGTCAGTTCTGACCCTGTGGCTTTGAAGGGATCAGCACCCTCAGCAGCTCTCATGGTCTGGATTGAGTGCATTTAGATTTTCCAAGCACAATGTTCAGTCTTCCAGTGGATCTACAATACCAGGTTCTGGAAGATGGTGGCCTTCTTCTCAGAGCTCCACTATTCAGTGCCCCAGTGGTGGCTCCATGTGGAGGCTCCATCTCCAAATTTCCTTTCCACACTGCCCTAGTAGAGGTTTTCCATAAAGGGTCTTCCCCTGCAGACCAGGACAACCAGGCTTTTCCATACATCCTCTGAAATCTAGGCAGAGGCTCTCAACATTCAACTCTTGCACTTTGCTCACCTGCAGGCTTAACTCCATGTGGAAGCTGCCAAAGCTTATGGCTTGCACCCTCTGAAGCAACAGTTCAAGCTGTACCTGGGCCCTATTGAGCCATGGCTGGAGATAGAGTGGCTGGGACGCAGGAAGCAGTGTCCCAAGGATATGCGGTGTGGTGGGGTCCTGGTCTTGGCTCACAAAAACATTCTTCTCTGCTAGGTCTCTGGGCCTGTGATGGGATAGGCTACCGGGAAAGTCTCTGAAATGTTTTTGAGGCCTCCTCATTGTCTTGGTTATTAACATTTGGATTCTTTTTACTTATGCAAATTTTTACAGCCTGCTTGAATTCCTTCCCTAAAAAAATGGGCTTTTCTTTTCTACCAGATGGCCAGGCTGCACATCTTCTAAACTTTAATGCTCTACTTCCCTTTTAAATGTTAGTTCGAGTTTTAGGTCTTTGCTTTCCTCACACATATGAACATAGGTTGTTAGAGGCAGCCAGGCCACATCTTGAACACTGCGATGCTTAGAAACTCCTTCCTCCAGATAACCCTAAATCATTACTCTCAAGCACAAAGTTCCACAGATCCCTAGAGCGGAGCCACAATGCTGCCAGGTTATTTGGTAACACATAACAAAAATTACCTTTGTTTTTATTCCCAATATCTTCTTCATCTCCATCTGAGACTTCATCACCTTGGACTTTATTGTCCATATCTTTATCAGCATTTTGGTTGCAACCACTTAACCAGCCTCTAGGGAGTTTTAAATTTTCTCTCATCCTCCTATCTTCTTCTGAGCTCTCCCAGCTCTCACAACCTCTGCTCATTACCTAGTTCCAAAGCTCCTTCCACATTTTCAGTTATCTTTGTAGCAATGCCCCAATTCTTGGTACAAATTTTTAGTATTAGTTTTTTCTCACACCGCAATAAAGAAATACCTGAAGCTGGATAATTTATAAACAGAAGAGTTTAATTGGCTCATAGTTCTGCAGGCTGTACAGGATGCATAGTGGCTTCCGGTACTGAGAAGGTCTCAGAAACTTACAATCATGGCAGAAGGTGAAGGGGAAGCAGGCATGTCTTACATGGCCAGAGTAGGAGGAAGAGAGATAGATGGGGATGGTGCTACACATTTTTAAACAACCAGATCTCATGATAATTCACTCACTCACTATTATGAGAACAGCACTGAGGGGCTGAAGCTAACCCATTAATGAAAACTTAGCTCTCATTAGCCAATTACCTTCCACTAGGCCCCACCTCCAACATTGGGGGTTACAATTTGTCATGAGATTTGGGTTGGAACACAGATCCAAACCATATTATATTATTTACAGAAAAAAATTAAAATTTCTAAAATTTGTTGAGAACTGTGATAGACTCCAAATATGCAAGACAATTTCAAGAAAGAAAAAAAAAATTGAGAGCATCACAATTCCTAATTTAATATAACACTCCAAAGCTATAGTAATCAAAACAGTGTAGTACTTGCATAAGAACAGACACAGACTAATGGAACAGAATAGAGAGCCTGGAAATAAAATATACACAGTCAATTAATTTTTGAAAAAGGCACCAAGAGGATGCAATGAGGAAAGAATAGTCTCTTCAATAGATGGTACTAGGAAAAATGGATTTTCAAACTCCAAAGAATGAAACTGAACCCTTGTAACATACACAAAAATCTACTAAAAATGACACAAATATAAGAAACTATAAAACTCCTAGAAGAGAACATAGAGAAACAGCTCCTGTACATTGGCCCTTGGTAATGATTTTCTATTTATTACAGAACAATCTCAGGCCACAAAAGCAAGAACTGTACCGTTAGTTTTAATGCTGAAGTCTTACATAATGATTAAACATGCAACCTTCAGAGTCAGACTAAAGTAAGTTTAAATAGCCACACTATGCTTTGGTTTTCCTGTATGTAAAATGGGAAGAATAGCAGTATTTCCTCATAAAATTGTGATCAGAAGGAAATAAAATAATTCATGTTTAGTCTACAGAACAGTTACTAACACATAATAAAACAAAAGCTTTTTTTTTCTAAAAATTAATCCATTTTTGAATATTTCACCATGATAATTGATAACTAAATTTATACCTATTATAATACTTCTATTAGTACATTTCACTTTCTCTCTGTCAGGCCTCTGAGCCCAAGCCAAGCCATCGCATCCCCTGTGACTTGCACATATACATCCAGATGGCCTGAAGTAACTGAAGATCCACAAAAGAAGTAAAAATAGCCTTAACTGATGACATTCCACCATTGTGATTTGTTTCTGCCCCACCCTAACTGATCAATGCACTTTGTAATCTCCCTCACCCTTAAGAAGGTTCTTTGTAATTCTCCCCACCCTTGGGAATGTACTTTGTGAGATCCACCCTTACCCGTAAAACATTGCTCTTAACTTTATCGCCTATCCCAAAACCTATAAGAACTAATGATAATCCACCACCCTTTGCTGACTCTCTTTTCGGACTCAGCCCGCCTGCACCCAGGTGAAATAAACAGCCATGGTGCTCACACAAAGCCTGTTTGGTGGTCTCTTCACACGGACGCGCATGAAACTCACTGAATAAAATGTTTTGAGAAAAATACTTAGTTTTCATGCCTATATAACTATCTTTTGCTTTGCCACAGTATCATACACAAAAAGGTACTCCATGAGTGCTTATTAAATGTATAAAAGTCAGAATGAAGTAATGTACATTTGTGGATATTAATTATCTTCGCTGCTTTTTACCTTGATTATAATTTTTATTCTAAGGCTTCATACTTTATGTGTTTTTAATTGCATTAAAAATTGAGCAAAGGACATTAACAGACACATTTCAAAAGAAAACATACAAACGGCCAACAAGCATATGAAAAAATGCTCAACATCACTAATTATTAGAGAAATGCTAATCAAAATCAAAATGAGATACCATCTCACATCACCCAGCATGGCTATTATTAAAAAGTCAAAAAATAGTAGATGCTGGTGAGGTTGCAGAGAAAAAGGAATGCTTACACACTGCTGGTAGGAATGTAAATTGGTATAGTCATTTAGAAAAGCAGTTTGGCCATTTTTCAAAAAACTTAAAACATAATTAACATTCAACCCAGTATTTCCATTATTAGGTATACCCAAAGAAATATAAATTCTTCCAACATAAAGACACATGCATGCATGTGTTCATCACAGCACTATTTACAATAGCAAAGACAGGGAATCAACCTATATGCCCATCAGTGGGAGACTGGATAAAGAAAATGTGGTTTATATATACCATGGAATACTATGCAGCCATTAAAAAGAATGAGAACATGTGTTTTGCAGCAACACGGATGGAGCTGGAGGCCATTATCCTAAGCAAACTAACATAGGAACAGAAAAGTAAATACTGCATTTTCTCACTTATAAGTAGGAGCTAAACATTGAGTATGTTAGGGACAAACTGCCCTAAGAAAGCTTCTTGGTGCTGCCCACCCCTCCACCTAACGCTCTGCAACTCTTCTCCTTGCCGCCCACCCTTCCCCCAAGCTTCTTTACATTTCTCAGCCCTTAAGCGGTGAAACCAGCAGACTTCACTTATCAGACCTTGCTGCGATAAGCAAACCCCAATACAAACCATTCCTACAGCACAGGGGGAGGTCGTGGGAAGCATAAACAAACTTTACCTACACCTCCTTGTAAGTTCCTGTTCTTCATCTAGCTGCTACCATAAACGTCACAAGGTGATATGTGACAAAATTAACCAGCAAACAACCCCGGGATGCGGCCATACCAAAGAACTCCCTCAAACGACCCTCCCCAGTGTAAACCCCTCATTCTGTAAGCTTGGGGCTTCTTCCTCTCTGACTGTTAAGGGGGCAGCCAGCAGGTTAATAAAACTTGCTTGCCTGACTTCGGGTCTATTTTTAGTTTCTCTCAGCTAACCTTACAGAGGCATATGGACACAAAGAAAGGAAAAACAGACATTGGGGCCTACTTGAGGGTGGAGGGTAATAGGAGGGTGAGGATTGAAAAACTACCTATTGGGTACTAGCTTATTACCTGGGTAATGAAATAATCTGTACACCAGACCTCTGTGACACAAAATGTACCTATATAACAAACCAAAATAAAATTAAATAAGTGTAATAAATAAGTGAAATAAAAGTTAAATAAGTACAAGTTAAAACAATAAAGAAAATCAAGGACTTAGTAGAAAAGAAAATTTCCATTTAGATGTGCTTTTTGAGTGACAAATAGATACCTCTGTCACAAACCTGGAGTTAAGGGCAGATAGGAAAGAAAGAGAAAAACATAAAGATAAGTTTCTTTATTTTATCTCAAGAGTAATGGATCTGGAAATACCAAATATTATATTTTTCAATGTGACTTTATAAGCAATTTCTAAAACTTAAAAAAGAATCCCCTCCTCTATTCAAGATCCAGCTTGGGTAGTATCTACAGCTGAGTTTCTGCAAATGTAGTCCCTGGATCCCTGGAGAAGCTAAGGACTTTTAAGCGTCTGTGAAGTCAATGTTGCTCTCACAATAATACGAAGTTGTTATTTCTCTTTTCTATTGTATCAACATCTGCACTACTTAAGTTTGTTTTTGTATTGGCTGGTAATTGTTTTCCTTTCCATAATTAGTGCTCCTTTCAATATATCTTGTATAGTGGGTCTGGTGGTAACAAACAAGGTCAGCATTTGCTTGTCATAAAAGTATCTTATATCTCCTTCACTCAGAAAGCTTTGTTTGGCTGGATATGAAATTCTTGGTTGAAAATTTTTTTCTATAAGCGTGTTGAATATAGGCTCCCACTCTCTTCTGGCTTGTAAGGTTTCTGCTGAGAGGTCTGCTGTTAGCCTGATGTGATTCCCTTCATTGGAGACCTGCCCTTTCTCCCTAGCTTCCCCTAATATTTTTTCTTTCATTTCAACATTTGAACATCTAATGGTTATGTGTCTTAGGGATGATCTTCTTGTGTAGAATCTTGCAGAGGTTCTCTGTATTTTCTGAATTTAATTGTCAGCCTCTCTATTGAGGTTGGGGAAGTTTTCATGGATGATGCCCTGAAATACATTTACCAAGTTGTTGGCTTTCTCCCTTTTACTTTCAGGAATGTCAATGATTTGTAGATTTGGCCTATTTACATAATCCCATATTTCTTGGAGGTTTTATTCATTCCTTTTCATTTTTTTCTTTATTTTTGTCTTACTGCCTTATTTCAGACAGCTACTCTTCAAGTTCTAAGACTCTTTCCTCAGCTCAGTCTATTCTGCTGTTAATACCTGTCATTGCATTGTGAAATTCTTGCAGTGTGTTTTTCAGCTCCATCAGATGAGTTAGTTTATTTTTTATGCTGGCTATGTCATCTGTCAGCACCTGTATTATTTTATTGTGATTCTTAGTTTCCTTGAATTGGGTTGTGTCATTCTCCTGAATCTCAATGATCTTCATTTCTATTCATATTCTGAATTCTACTTCTGTCATTTCATCCAATTCAGCCTGGTTAAAAAGACCAGTGTATTAGTCAGGGTTTGTTAGAGTGATAGAATTAATAGGATAGATTTATATATAAAGGGGAGTTTATATCACAGGGCATGGTAATAAGAAGAGGCACTCTAATGAATCTCCTGTATTCCATGCATAATCTTTCTTACCTCTGTTGCAGAGTAGTAGACTGATAGAATCTTGATAGTCTGAGTCAATCATCCCAGCCAACACTGTACCTCCCTTCTTAGGCTGTTGGTGTAAAGGTAGGAGAAGTGCAAAGTGTCCAGGTGGCAATCTTAATTTCCAGTTTAATTGAATCATTGCTATGTTTCCTGGTGGCAGCATTCCTCCCTCTGAAACTAAGACCTCTAGGCCAGCAGAACATAATGTCACAGAAACAGGAAGCAAATATGTTGTTAGTGGGTCACTAGGGGTGATGGTGAGTGTTGCCACTTCCAATTCCACCCCTTGATTCCTGGACCCATGATTCCTGGCTATGGGAGAAACAGTACCATATATTGGATGCTGATTCAGAGCAAACACAGCCTTCTGGAGAACCTTGTCCCAGCCATGCAAAGTATTATAACCTAATTGGCATTTTAGTTGTGACTTCAAAAGGCCATTCCATCATTCTATCCATCCAGCTGCTTCAGGATGATGGGGAACATGGTAAGACCAGTGAATTCCATGAGCATGAGCCCGCTGCCACATGTTTTTAGATGTAAAGTGAGTGCCTTGGTCAGAGGCAATGCTGTGTGGAATACCATGATGGTGGATAAGTCATTCCATGAGTCCACAGATGGTAGTCTTGGCAGAAGTATTGTGTGTAGGATAGACAAACCTACATCCAGAATAAGTGTATATTCCAGTGAGGACAAACCTCTCTGCCCTTTCCATAATGGAAGAGGCCCAGTATAATCAACCTGCCACCAGATAACTGGCTGAACACCCTGAGGACTAGGGCCATATTGAGGGCTCAGTGTTCGTCTCTGCTGCGGCAAATTGGGTGTGGACATAGCCAGGTCAGCCTGGGTGACTGGAAATCCATGTTGCTCAGCTCATGCATAACCTCCATCCCTGCCGCAATGGCTACTTTGTTCATCAGACCGTTGAGTGATGACGATGACAGGAGAAGCTGGAAAAAGAGGCTGAGTAGTGTCTACAGAACAGGTCATCCTATCCACTTGATTATTAAAATCTCTTCTGCTAAGGTCACGCATTGGTGAGCACTCACATGGGATACAAATATCATCCCCTTTTTTTTGGCCACTCAGAAAAGTCTATCCACATACCTCTTCCCCAAATTTCTTTGTCACCAATTATCCAATCATGTTTCTTCCAAGTCCCTGATCATCCAGCCAAGCCATTGGCTACAGCCCATGAAACAGTATATAATTGCACATCTAGTTATTTTTCCTTCCATAAAAAGTGCACAACCAGATGCACTACTCAAAGTTCTGCCCACTGGGAAGATTTCCCTTCACCACTTTCTTTCAGGGATGTCCTGAAAGGGACTGTAGTGCTGCAGCTGTGCACTTGTGGGTGGTACCTGCATATCATGCAGAACCATCTGTGAACCAGACCTTAGATTTCTCTCTCTCTCTGTCAAGTGATCATAGGAAACTCTCCATGAGGCCATTGGTGCAGGCTGAGGGAAAGAAGGTAGGGTGGCAGGAAAATAATGGGCATTTGAGCCACTTCCTCGTGTAACTTACTTGTGCCTTAAGGACCTGCTCAAGCCCGATCACGTATATACTACTTCCATTTGATGATGGAATGCTGCTGTGCATGAACGACTCTATGGCAAGATGGGTCAGAAAGCACCCAGGTCATGATAGGCAGTTCAGGCTGCATGGTGACTTTACTCTTGGTCAAACATTCAGTTTCCACCAAAGCCCAGTAACAGGCCAAGAGTTGTCTCTCAAAAGGAGAGTAGTTATCTGAAGAAGATGGCAGGGCCTTGCTTCAAAATCCTACAGGCCTCTGCTGTGATTCACCTATGGGGACCTGCCAGAGGCTCCAAACAGCATCCCTATTTGCCACTGAGACCTCAAGCACCATTGAGTCTGCTGGGTCATATGGCCCAAGTGGCAGAGCAGCTTGCACAGAAGCCTGGACCTGTTGCTGAGCCTTCTTCTAGTTCTGGACCCCACTGAAATCTGGCACCCTTTCAGGTAACTCAATAAATGGGCTGGAGTAACACACACCCAAATGAGGAATGTGTTGCCTCCAAAATCCAAATAGGCCCACTAAGCATTGTGCCTCTTTCTTGGTTGTAGGAGGGGCCAAATGCAGCAACTTATCCTTCACCTTGGAAGGAATATCTTGACAGGCCCCACACCACTGGACCCTTAGAAATTTTATCGAGGTAGAAGATACCTGAATTTTAGTCAGGCTTATTACCTATCCACTGGCATGCAAATGTCTCACCAATAAGTCCAGTATGTTTGCTACTTCTTGCTCACTGGATCCAATCAGTGTAATGTCATCAATGTAATGAACGAGTGTGATACCTTGTGGAAGGGAAAATCAATTAAGGTCACTCCAAACAAGATTATGACACAAAGCCAGAGAGTTGATATACTCCTGAGGTAGGACAGTAAAGTTATATTGCTGGCCTTGCCAGCTGAAGACAGATTGCTTCTGGTGGGCCTTATGGACAAGAATGGACACGAGGACGTTAGTCAAGCCAATGACTTCATACCAGGTACCAGGAGATGTGTTTATTTGTGCAAGCAATGAAACCACATCTTCTACAGCAGATGCAATTGAAGTCACCATTTAGTTAAGTGTACAATAATCCACTGTCATTCTCCAAGATCCAACTGTCTTCTACACAGACTGAATGGAAGAGTTGAAAGGGTATGTGGTGGGAATAACCACCCCTGCATCTCTCAAGTCCTTGATTGCAGCACTAATCTCTGCAATCCCTCCAGGGATGCAATATTGTTTTTTATTTACTTTTTTTTTAGGAAGTGGCAGCTCTAATGGCTTCCATTTGGCCTTTTCCACCATAATAGCCCTCATCCTACCAACCAGGCAGCAAATGTGGAGGGTTCTGCCAGCTGCTAAGTATGTCTATGCCAATGATGTATTCTGGCACTAGGGAAATGACTATAGTATGAGTCCAAGGATCCAATGGACCCACTGTAAGTCAAACCTGAGCTAAACCTCCACTAATTACCTGACCTCCATCAGCCCCTACTTTAACTGGAGAACCGCAATGCTGTTTTATGTCCCTTAAAATCAATGGCAGTTCAGAGCCAGTGTCCAGTAGTCCCCAAAATGTCTGATTATTTCCCTTTCCCAATACACAGTGACTGATCCTGGTAAAAGGCCAGAGGTCTCCTTGGGGAAGGATGAGAGAAAGATTAATAGCATAAATTGTTGGTAGTGTAGTGAGTTCCTCCCTCAACAAGGGGACCTGGCCTCTCTTCCATTCAAGGGATTCTGGGTCTGTAAACTGACTCACCTGAAAATTGATTGAGGGGCTGTGACTCTCAGCTTTTATAATTCAAATTAGTATTTTGTCCACTTGACCTGGAAGTTTCCTGCTTACATAAATTAAGTAGGGATGCAATCGTCTTCCTATGAATTTCACTTCTACAGAAACTGTGATTAATTAGACAATGCCAGAGCTCTATATGAGTCAAACTATTCTGATTTCTGCTTTGCCCCTGCTGTCTATTATGGTGGCTATGCCCATCTGGCCTTTGATGGTTGAGCATCCCCACTTGTCCCCTGCCACCTTAGTATCCAATTATTCCCATTGCATTTAAATTTTGTAGTTAAGTGACTGTGGTTCCCACTGTTAGATCTGTCATACAGAGAAGAGCAATTCATACAGAGCTCTTCAAAGATGCAGGTTCTGCCTTCACAAATCCATTTCACAAAGCATTGTTCAAGGATATATCTTCTGGACCCTCCCAGCTGGGATGAGTAGGTCTAAAGTGACTAATCCACTCCTCCATCCCAATCTCTACAAGCCTTTTGATCCCTTCCTCTACATTAAACCAAGGGAGAAAATCTGGCATTTCCAGCTCGCTCACAGTGGACCATCTTTTAATTTATAATTCAGCTAACAAAGCAAATAAACTATTAGAATATTTTTTAACTCCCTGAGGTGCAACATTAAATGCAGAATCCCTACCTAGTGGGCCCAAATCAAAAAAGTCAGCCTGATTCAACTCTATGTTCCTTCCACCATTATCCCACACCCTTAATATCCATTCTCATGCCTGTTATCTAGATTCCTGCTTATACAAATTAGAAAACTCAAGCTGTTCTTTTCAAGTGTAGTGCACCTCCTCGTGGGTCACACTCTGACCTCACCTCTATGGGCCCACTGGGACTTCAATCTAGTTATAGGTCTAGAAGCACACAAGGGTGTTCGGGGTGGGTATTGAGGAGAATCAACATTATCTTGCCTCGTAGCTGCCTCAGGAGAGGCCATCACTGTTGCCTCAGTTAGTGCAGGGTTTATCTCCTCAGACAAAGGTGGAAAGGCTGATGGCAGCATGGGTCTTGGAGGGGATCTTGCCACTACTGGGGATGGGGAAGCTGTTTCTTCTGGTAAAAAGATTCATCAGAGTTTACAAGCTCAGTGTCCCCAGCTTCATCAGGGTCCTCCCACACATCACCTTTCCAAGTTGCGGGGTCCCATTTTTTACAAATCAATGTCCTCACTTTAACAGTAGACACCTGGCAAGGCTGTGCATGCACATTTTGTTGCAGGTCAGCCACTTGCATTTTAAGAACCTGTGTCAGATTTTCTACAATTTCAGCTCTTTCTCTACATGAGATAAGACTCTTGCTCAGGGCAATCTTAGAAGATTTGAGGCTTAGTATGTACTTCTGAAGATGGGAGTTAGAATCCCTGAGTTCAACATTTTTTTTCATCACTTTATCCAGTGGACTTAGGAGCAACCAACCAACTTTATTATGTTCTTGGGTTCTCCACATATGGTCAAAAGTATTATGTATAGGGTCATTAAACTCCTTGCCTCTCACAAGTGGTGAATCTGGAGTGTCTAATGTATTTATTTTGCATAATTCTCTAAACAGTTCATGCCAAGGACTATCAGTGTTCTCCACACTATTAAAAGTAGAGTCCTTAGCATTTTGAAGTCTAATCACATTAAGCAGCCAACTCCAGAAACCCCAAAACCAATGAAAGAACTCCATCCTTAATATTCTGTTCCTCTAGAACCACTCCTGGTACCAATATCTGTATTAGTCAGGGTTCTCTAGAGGGACAGAACCAATATAATAGATGTATACACAAAGGGGAGTTTATTAATGAGTATTAACTCACATGATCACAATGTCCCACAATAGGCCATCTGCAAGCTGAGGAGCAAGGAAGCCAGTACATTTTCCAAAGCTAAAGTACTTGGAGTCTGATATTCAAGGACAGGAAGCATGCAGCATGGGAGAAAGATGTAGGTTGGGAGGCTAAGGTATTCTAGTCTTTTCATGTTCTTCTGCCTGCTTTTTAGTCTGGCCCTGCTGGCAGCTGATTAGATTATGCCCACCTAGATTAAAGGTGGGTCTGCCTTTCCCAGTCCACTAACTCAAATGTTAATCTCCTTTGGCAACACCACCATAAAGACACCCAGGAGCAACACTTTGCATCTTTTAATTCAATCAAGTTCATACTCAGTTATCCATCACAACCAGTGATAACTGTAAAGCAACCACACAGACAAGCCTGCACAATAACAAGCTAACATCATGATGGCAGGATCAAAACCACACATATTAATGGTAACCTTGAGTGTTAATGGGCTAACTACCCCATTTAAAAGGCAGAGAGTTGCAAACTAAATAAAATGTAGGACTGAAAGCTATGCTGTCTTTAAGAGATCCATTTCACATTCAATGACACTCATAGTTTCAAAATAAAGGGATGGAGGAAAATCTATGAAGCAAATGGAAAACAGAAAAAAGAAGGGGTTGCAATTCTAATTTCAGACAAAGCAGACTTTAAACCAACAAAGATTTAAAAAAAGACAAAAGAAAACATTACATTATAGTATAGGGTTCAATTCAACAAAAGACCTAACTATCCAAAATATATATGTACCCAACATAGGAGCACCCAGATTCATAACGCAAATTCTTAGAGACCAACACAGAGATTTAGACTTCCGTACAATAGCAGTGAGAGACTTCAACACTCCACTGACAGTATTAGACAGCTCATCAAGGCAGATAATTACGAAGATATTGTATTAGTCAGGGTTCTTCAGGGGGACAGAACTAATAGGATATATGTATATAGTAAAGGGAATTTATTAAGGAGACTTGACTCACACAATCACAAGGTGAAGTCTCACCATAGGCCATCTGCAAGCTGAGGAGCAAAAAAGCCGGTAGTGGCTTAGTCCAAGTCTGAAAGCCTCAAAAGCAGGAAAACCAACAGTGCAGACTTCAGTCTGTGGCCAAAGGCTTGAGAACCCTTGGCAAACCACTAGTGCAAGTCCAAGAGTCCAAAAACTGAAAAACCTGGAGTCTGATGTTTGAATGCAGGAACTATCCAGCACAGGAGAAAGCTGGAAGACTCAGCAAACCAGCTTATTCCACCTTCTTCTGCCTCCTTTTTCTAGCCATACTGGCAGCCTACTGGATGGTGCCCACCCAGATTGAGGGTGGTCTTCCTCTCCCAGTCCACTGACTCAAATGTTAATCTCTTTTGGCAACACCCTCACAGACACACCCAGAAACAATAGTTTGCATCTATCAATACAGTAAAGTTGACACTTAATATTAATCATCACAGATATTCAGGACCTTAACTCAGCACTGGATCAATTAGATCTCAAAGACATATACAGAACTCTGTAGTTAAAAAGTGATAGAATGTACATTCTTCTTACCACCACATGACACATACTCTAAAATTAACCACATAATCAGACATAAAACAATCTTCAGCAAATACAAAATCACTGAAATCATACCGAATACACTCTTGGACTGCAGCACAATAAAAATAGAGAGATGAAGACAAAAAAAATCACTTGAAATCATGCAATTACATGGAAATACAAAAAAAACCTCCTTCTGAATGACTTTTGGGTAAATAAGGAAATTAAGGCAGAAATCAAGAAGTTCTTTGAAACCAATGAGAACAATGATAAAACAAACCTGAATCTCTGTGACACAGCTAAGTTAGTGTTAAGAGGAAAATTTATAACACTAAATGCCCACATAAAAATGTTAAAAAGATCTCAAGCTAACATCACAACTAAAAGAACTAGAGAAGCAACAAGAAACAAACTCCAAAACTAGCAGAAGACAATAAATAAGCAGATTCAGAGCAGAATTGAAGAAAATTGAGACATGAAAAACCAATAAAAAGATCAACAAATCCAGGAGTTGATTTTTTTTGGAAAAAAAATAATAAGATAGGCCACTAACTAGACTATTAACAAGAAAAGAGAGAACATCCAAATAAATAGAATTAGAAATGACCAAGGGAATGTTACGACTTACTCCACAGAAATATTATACAAATAACCATCAGAGACTATTATAAACACCTCTATGTACACAAACTACAAAACCTAGATGAGATGGACAGATTCTTGGACACATACACTGTCTCAAGACTGACCCAGGAAGAATTTGATTCCCTGAACAGGCCAATAATGAGCTCCAAAATTGAATCAGTAATAAATAACCTACCAATCAAAAAAAAAAAAAAAAAGGACTAAATGGATTCACAACCAATTTCTTACAGATGTACAAAGAACAGCTGGTACTATTCCTACTGAAAATATGCCAAAAAACTGAGGAGAAGAAACTCTTTCCTAACTCACTCATGAGGCCAGCATCATGCTGATACTAAAACCTGGAGGAGACTCAACCAAAAAATAAAACTTCAGGCAAATATTCTTGATGAACAAAGATGCAAAAATTCTCAACAAAATACTAGCAACATGAATCCAGCAGCACACCAAAAAGCTAGTCCACCACAATCGAGTAGGCTTTATTACTGAGATGCAAAGTTGGTTCAACACATACAAATAAATAAATGTGATTCATCTTATAAATAGAACTAAAACAAAAACCACCTAATAATCTCAATACATGCAGAAAAGACTTTTGATAAAATTCAACATATTTTCATGTTAAAAACTCTCAACAAACTAGGTATTGAAGGAACATACCTTAAAGTAATAAGATACATATATGGCAAACCCAGAGCCAACATTTTCCTGAGTAGGCAAATCCTAGAAGCATTCCCCTTGAAAACTGGCACAAGACAAAGATCCTCACTCTCACTACTCTTATGGAACATAGTACTGCAAGTCATGGACAGTGCAATCAGGCAAGAGAAAGATATAAAGACACCTAATTAGGAAGTCAAACTATCGCTGTTTTCAGATGATATCGCTCTATATCTAGAAAACCCCATAGTCTCTGCCCTTAAGCTCCTTGATATAATAAACAACTATATGAGTAATAGACGTACAAGATTTTAACAGGTATATTTTCTTGTCTTTAGTTAATGAAGTAGCATCTTTAAGTTGTTATAAGAACATAATCTCATTTATTTTTACTAAACAACTCATAATTTTCAAACCTGGAGAAATGCCTTAATTTGTGGAGACAGCTTTAAAAAGTTGCAGCCCTGAGCATTTCCCCCTATATTGAACTTGACACCTCGCTATGTAACCTAAGTTTTTCCATCATAAAGTATCAAATAATCTATTATTTTCTTCCCTATGGACATGAAAATTGATAAATTTAATCCACATCTACTTCACAAAGTAAATGCCAGAGGAGAATGTAAGCCATATAGAAAATAAAATGTTCTAATGTTCATTTTGCTAGATGTTAGAATAGTGAATATACCCATGTACTATCTGTGATTCCACCATTTGGAAAAATATTCAGCAATTTTGATGTCTTAGATGAGATTCATTAAAAACAAGCCTGTGTACTAATGCTTTATTGGGGTGCAGCTTGGGATGGGAATATTAATCATGCAATTTCAGGGCATCCAGAGTAAGGAAAAGACAGATGACACAAAATAAAATGAGTGTGAAAAAGTCACCAATGGCTTAATGAGGAAACAGCTTTTTGCTTGATCACACGGGATATCTGAAAAGGCCATGGTGAATCATCATGCGTTAAAAGTTTATCTGTAAGAGAAAAGCAGAGCCATAGATCGTTAATTCTTCCTCTTTTCTGTGTTTTGACTCACTGCCCTTCTAGTCACTGGAGATGCCAGATTCCATGCTCTTTGCAGTTTAGCAGCTACATCTAAGTCCAGAAGTGCTGGGAAGAGCCATCGACTCCAAGGGTTAGATCAGATCAGACTGGTATACTAGGAAGTTACAACAAATGTTATGAGACTTTCTTGGAGTTTAGCCCTCACTTCAATGAATCCAAGACAATCAAGATTATTAGGAGATGAGATGACATTGGTAGGATCTGGGGAATCTTCACTATTCAATAACAAAATCCAGGAGAAAAGTAGAGCTAAGTGGACCTGGGGAGCCACATAATTTGGATTCCACATAGTTTACCTCTTTCACTATTTATATTAACTAGAAATTACCCATAATATCTGGCTCTGATACTGTAATGTGATATCTCCACTTTTGCACCAACTCACAAAAGATGGTGATAAACAGTGAAAAGATGGTAGTATCAACAGATTGTAAATCCTGTAAAGGAGTTACTACTGTAAATTACAGTGGTAATTATCGAAACTGGGATATTAAGATGAGTGACCTATGACACAGTAAGATGAAAAAACTGAAACACAATAGAAGAAACATTTAGTAGGTCAATGTAATAATTCGGGTAAAATATGATGGGAGTTTTGGCCAGGATAGGTAGAAGGTGATGAGAAGTAGCCAGATTCTCAGATTCTAAAGACATTTTGAAGTAGAACCTAGCTGAGTTTGGCTGATGAAATGGATAAGAGATGTAAGGGAAAGAGGTGAGTAAATAATAAATCTAAGATTTGTGATTGTCATTTACTTAAATGGTAAATAATACAGGAGCAACTTTTGGAAAGGAGAAATCAGGAGATTTTGGGGGTATGTTAATACTGAGATGCCTAGAGATCCAAGAGGGAATGCTGAGAAGACAATGGGATGTATGAGTCTTGAATTCAGGGTAGAAGTTTATACTGGAGATAATAAATTTTGTTGCCATTGGCATAGAGATGTAATTTAAAGCCACAACATAGGTTAATACCATCTAGACATGACGGTGGGTAGATAAAGAATGTTATTAAGGCCTAGGTCACTCTAATTATTAAGGTCAGAGAAACGGGGAGGAAACCTTAAAAGCGATTATGCACAAAAAAACAGAAATCAGAATAAAAAATAATATAGAATAATGTTGTTCTGGAATTAAAATGGAAAAAAAATAAATATTTCAAGTTGATGGAAATCATCACCAGTGTCAAATACATAGTATGTCAAGATGGGAACTGAAAGTTAACCATTTCATTTAGGAACATGAATGTCATTGATGAACTTGACAATGGTTTTAATGCAAATGTGGGTATGAAGTTCTGAGTAGAGTGTATTTAAGGAAAAATTGGAAGAAAGGAAGAGGAGACAGTCTCTATAGACATTTCTTCTCAGGCATCTGAGCCCAAGATAAGCCATCATATCCCCTGTGACCTGCATATATACATCCCGATGGCCTGAAGCAACTGAAGAATCACAAAAGAAGTGAAAATAGTCAGTCCCTGCCTTAACTGATGACACTCCACCATTGTGATTTGTTCCTGCCCCACCCTAACTGATCAATTAACCTTGTGACATTCCTTCTCCTAGACAATGAGTCTCAGAACCTCCTCACTGAACACCTTGTAACCCCTGCCTCTGCCTGCAAGAAAATAACCCCCTTTAACTATAATTTTCCACTACCTACCCAAATCCTATAAAACTGCCCCACGCCTATCTCCCTTTGCTGACTCCTTTTTTGGACTCAGTCCGCCTTCACCCAGGTGATTAAAAAGCTTTATTGCTCACACAGAGCCTGTTTGGTGGTCTCTTCGCATGGATGCACATGACATTTCTGTTAAGGAATTTTGCTTTAGTAGAAAGCAAATTCTGGTAGCTGGAAAAGCGTGGCATTAAATGGGGGTAAATATTATTTTTTATGATTGAAAATAGAACATGTTTGAGTGTTAATACAAATAACCTGACAGAAAATGAAAATGTATGTGATGCAGAATGGAAAGGAGGAAACTGTGGGAGTGATGACCTTAAATAAGAAAGAGTGGTTGGGACTAAGTGAGCATGCAACAGTTGTTGGCATTTGCTGTCCACATGCACAATTCATCCACAGTAGAAGTAGGATGACAGAGTGAATTAGTTCAGATGCAGTTAATCTGATATTTGTGGTGAGATTTGGGGATATTTCCTCTGATGATTTTTTTTTGTTTTCACCGCGTATTATAAACCAAGGACATTAGCTGAGAGTGAAGAGGAAGAGGAATTTTTTCAGAGAATGTGTGAAATACTTGTTTAAAGTGTAGAAGAGTGAGTAGATTAGGAAAACAGTATAATTACTAAGAAGTCTTAAGAACCCAATTGGTTTTATGGTTATGAATTTAAAATGGATCTGTAAGCGTGTTTTTGTTTCTTTTTCTTCAGATAAGTTTGAATTCACGAGTTCAGGCAGATAGATTTAACCAGACTTGTGGTTTTGTGAAGTGAGTTAAACAAAATGAAAGAAGGGCAAAGAAGCTAAGTGTACTCAAAGAAGTGATTATTGTAACTGACCATTAAATTTACCCTAGGAAGAAGGAAAGTGAGAACAAGAGATGGGGAGAAACAGTGAAAATTTCCTAGAAGCAACAGATTGTAAATCTTGGTGGAGTAGTATAATTATTGAAACTGGAATATTAAGATGAGTGGGCTAGAAAAAGTAGATTTAATAATCAGAGACTGGGATGTATAAAGTCAAGATTATGGAGGCATTACATGTGCTGATAATGGTAAGTGTCAGGTCTCTGAGCCCAAGCTAAGCCATCATATCCCCTGTGACCTGCACGTATACATCCAGATGGCCTAAAGTAACTGAAGATCCACAAAAGAAGTGAAAATAGCCTTAACTGATGACATTCCACAATTGCGATGTGTTTCTGCCCCATCCTAACTGATCAACGTACTTTGTAATCTCCCTGACCCTTAAGAAGGTTCTTTTTAATCTCCCCCACCCTTAAGAAGGTTCTTTGTAATTCTCCCCACCCTTGAGAATGTACTTTGTGAGATCCACCCTCTGCCTGCAAAACATTGCTCCTAACTCCACGGACTATCCCAAATCCTGTAAGAACTAATGGTAATCCCACCACCCTTTGCTGACTCTCTTTTCAGACTCAGCCCATCTGCATCCAGGTGAAATAAATAGCCTTGTTGCTCACACAAAGCCTGTTTGGTGGTCTCTTCACACGGATGTGTGTGACAATAAGGTCTTGGATTTGACAATAAAAATGAGAAACCGAGTGTATTAGTCCATTCTCACACTGCTATAAAGAAATACCCAAGACTGGGTAATTTATAAAGGAAGAGGGTTTAATTGACTCACAGTTCCACATGGCTGGTGAAGTCTTAGGAAACTTACAATAATGGAGGAAGGCAAAGAGGAAGCGAAGACCTTTTTCACATGGCATCAGGAGGGAGCAAAGTGTGCAAAGGAGGAATTTGCCAAACACTTATAAAGCCATCAGATCTCATAAGAACTCACTCATTATCACAAGAACAGCATGGGGGAAACTGCCCACGTTTTAATCACCTCCCAACAGGTTTCTCTCTTAACACCTGGGGATTAAAATTCAAGATGAAATTTGGTTGGGACACAAAGCCTAACCATATCACTGAGGTGAAACAAAGTACACGTTCACTGAAAAATATTTCAAGGACCTTTGATAACAGAAGACTGGAAAGATTATTCATAAGAATACAGAACACACAGCAAACCCATGCCAAGTGAGCAATGCATTTTCTTTAGCACTCTGTACTGTTGTTCTGAAGTAAAAGAACTGTTTCTGAAAATCAAACAAAATATTATAAAAGCTTCACAATCAAACAATTTGAAACAAACCATCAATTTAAATGTGCAAATAAATTTTAAAAGAAACATAAAATTAAAATTGCTATGAATTAGAAGTAGTGCTGGAGAAGTAAAAAAACAAAATATTTCAATGGATAAGGGATAGTGGATATTAAGGGTTGAATTATGCCCTCACAAAAGACATGTTTAGGTCCTAATACCCAGCATCTCAGTATGTGACCTTGTTTGGAAATAGGGTTGTTACAGATGTAATTAGTTAAGTAAAGGTGAGGTTATACTAGAGTAAGATGGGGCCTCAATACAAAATGACTGAGGTCCTTATAAGAAGAAAAAGTCACACATGTGGAATAAATGACCTTTTAAAGACAGAGCCAGAGATTAGAGTGATGCTGCTACAAGTCAATCAATACAAGGATTGCCTGCAAACATCAGGAGATAGAAGAGCCTTTTAACATGAAATGATGTTGAATTTTATTGAAAGCCTTTTCTGCATGTATTGAGACTATCATGTAGATTTTTTCATTCTTTTTTATGTGATGAAGTAAATTTACAATTTGTATATGTTGAAACAACCTTGCATTCCAGGAATAAAGCCTACTTGATCGAGCTGGTTTAGCTTCTTGATGTACTACTGTATTCTGTTAGGTAATATTTTGTTGAGAAGTTTTGCATCTATATTCATCAAGGATCTTGACGTGAAGTACTCCTTTTTTTGTGTGTCTCTGCCAGGTTTTGGTATCTGAATAAAGCTGGCCTCATAGAATGATTTAGGGAGGAGTCATTCCTCTGCATTTTTTTTTTAATAGTTTCAACAGGAATGGTATCAGCTGTTCTTTGTACATTTCATAGAATTAGGCTGTGAATCAACCTGGTCCAGGGATTTTTCTGGTTGTTAGGCATTTTGTAACTTATTCAATTTTCAAACTCATTATTGGTGTATTCAGGGTTTCAATTTCTTCCTGTTTCAATCTTGGGAGGATGTATGTTTCCAGGAATTCATCCATTTTATATAGATTTTCTAGTTTGTGTGCATAGAATTGATTGTAACAGTCTCTGAGAATTATTTTGTATTTCTGTTGAGTCGGTAATAATGTCACCTTTGTCATTTCTGATTGGGTTTATTTTAGTTCTCTCTTTATTAGTCTAGCTAGTGATCTATCAATCATTTATTCTTTCAAAGAAACAACTTCTTATTCCTTTGATTTTTTTATTGTATAGATCTCAACTCTCAATTTCATTCAATTCAGCTCAGATTTTTGTTATTTCTTGTCTTCTGCCAGCTTTGGGTTTGGTTTGCTCTCTTTTTTTTTTTTTTTTTGTAGTTTTTGGTGTGATACCAGCTTGCTAATTTCAGATCTTTATAACTTTTTGATATGGGCATTTAGTGCTGTAAACTTAACTCTTAACACTGCTTATCTCTGCCCTAGGGATTCTGTTATATCTTTTATTTTTAATTTTAGCTTTTATTTTAGATATGCGGGTACATGTGTAGAATTGTTACATGGGTATATTGGACTCCATTTGTGAGCATAGTACCCAGTAGCTATTTCTTCAACTCTCACTCCCACTTTCTTCCCTCCTCCCTCTAGTGGTCTAGTAGTTTAGCTCCCACTTATTAGTGAGAGCTAAACATTGAATAAACATGGACATAAACATGGAAAAAACAGAAACTGTGGTCATTCAGTTTTCTGTTCCTGTGTTAATTCATTTAGGACTATGGTCTTTAGCTCCATCCATGTTGCTGCAAAGAACATGGTCTCCTCTTTTTATGGATGAATAGTATTCTATGGTGTATATGGACCACACTTCCTTTATCCAATTCACTACTGATAGGCACATAGATTGATTCCATGTATTTGCTATTGTGAATAACACAGTGATGAACATAAAAGTGAGTGTTTTTTTGGTACAATGATCTATATTTTTGGGGGTATATATCCAGTTCTGAGATTGCTGATAAGCATTGTAGTAGACACCTAGCTGGGCTCATTTACTCCCATCTCTCCCTGTTCCACATGACATGTTGATCTTGAGGCACCATTTTATTGGACCATTCCTCACATCTTTAAAAATAGAAATGACATATATTTTTCCAATGAAATTAGCTCAAATTCCTAATGTTAATTTTCAAGGTTTTTTATCAATTAGCATAAAAATTCTCAAGGTTTTTACCAATTAGCAGAAAAATTCTAAGTAATACTTAATGAAACTAAAAACAGGAGAGTCTGTAATGTTAATTCCAACTATTCTCCCATGAAGAAACTTAGTACATGGTTCATGATAGCACAAGGGAGAGTCTATTAGTAACAGAATAAATAAGTGAGATAAATTGGCTGTAGTAGGGAGTTGAAAGCAGAGTAACCATTTACAGTAGTCCATTAATGAGTTTATAGCTTCAAAAATCACCTGCATGCAACTTCTATGCATATAGCAGCATTCTAAGCATTACAGAAAATACAAAATAGTTCACTGACTGTTAGGTAGTCAAGAACCATCTTAGGGAATAAAGTTAAGAAAAAAGAATAATATCTTAATAACCCCTAAGAGGTAATAAAAGTATTAGAAGGAGAGAGAGAGATAGCACCAGATCTGGTTAGGAGAGACTTAGCTTATACAAAGTTTTAGTGGTGACAAATGAGCAATTTTTCTTGACTGACTACAAAATAGATTAACCTGGTCAGAATAAAAGATTCACAGTCGTGAACCACGTAATATCAGTCAGTGATGGACCACATATATGATGATGATTTCATAAGATTATAATGAAGCTGAAAATTTCTATAGCCTGTTGTTTACTATACTGCACTTTTCATCATTATTTAGAATGTATTATTGTGAAAGAGTAACGTATAAAAAATATTACCTGTAAAACAGCCTCAGGCAGGTCCTTCAGGAGGTATTTAAGAAGAAACCATTGTTATCATAGGAGATGACAGCTTCATGCAAGTAATTGCCCCTGAAAATCTGAGATGTGGAGGTAGAAGACAGTGATATTTATGATTCTGGCTCTGTGTAGGCCTAGCATCAAGTGTATTTTTGTGTCTTCGTTTATAACAAAAAAAGTTTAAAAACTAATGAAAACATTAAAAATTATTTTTAAAAAGGTTGTAAACAAGCATATAAACAAAGAAAATATTGTTGTACAGCTATGAGGTGTTTTTGTGTTTGAAGCTAAGTATTATTTTTGATCAGTCAAGGAGTTGAAAAAATAAAAATTTTATGATGCAAAAAAGTTATAGTAAGCCAAGCTTAATTTATTTTCAAGAAAAAACAATATTTTAAATGAACTTAGCACAGCCAAAGTGTTCAATGTTTATAAAGTCTGCAGTTGAATGCAATCTTAGGCCTTTACATTCACTTACCACTCACTCACTGATTCAACCAGAGCAACTTCTAGTCCTGTGAGTTCCATTCATGCTGAGAGCCTTATACAGATGTATCAAATTTAATCTTGTACGCTATATTTTGACTCTACCTTTTCTATGCTTAGATATGTTTAGATGCACACATATATATTATTGTGTTACAATTGCCTACAGTATTCAGTTCACTAACGTATCACACAGGTTTGTATCCTAGAAGCAATAAGGTATACTCTATAGCTTAGGTGTGTAGTAAGCTATAACATCTAGGTTTGTGTACATACATTCTACAATATTTATTCAATGAAGAAATTGCCTAAGAATACATTTCTCAGAAATATATTCACTGTTTTAAACAATATGTTATTGCAACAGGCATACCTCAGTTTTTTGTTATTTGCTTTATTGTGCTTCACAGATATTGTGTTTATTAACATTTAAGGTTTGTGGCAATCCTGTATCAAGAAAGCCTATTGGTAACAATTTTCCAACATCACTTGCTTACTTTGTGTCTCTGTGTTACATTTTGGCAATTCTCATAATATTTCAAAAATTTTCAGTATTATATCAGCTATGGTCATTTATGGTCTCTGATGTTACTATTGTAATTGTTCTGTGGCACCATAAACTGCGGTCACATAAGACAGTAAACTTAATACATAAATGTTGTATGTGTTCTGACTGCTCCACCTACCAGCATTTCCCCCATCTTTCTCCCTCTTGTCAGGCCTGTCTATACCTTGAGACACAACAATATTTAAATTAGGCCAATTAATAACCCTACAATGACATGTAAGTATTCACGTCAAATAGAGTTTCATGTCTCTCACTTTAAATCAAAAGGTAGAAAGTGATTAGACTTAATAAAGAAGGCACTTCAAAAATCAAAATAGGCTGAAAACTAGGCATCTTGCACTAAATAATGAGCCAAGTTGTGAATGCAAACTAAAAGTTATTGGAGAAAATTAGAAGTGCTACTCCAGTAAAAATCTGAATGATAAGAAAGTGAAACAGCCTTATTACGTGCTGATATGGAGAAAATTTCAGTAGTCTGAATCAAAGACAAACCAGCCACAAAATTCACTTAGGCAAAAGCCCAATCCAGAGCAAGGCCCTAACACTCGTTAATTCTATGAAAACTGAGAGAGGTGAGGATGTTACGGTAGGAAAGTTTGAAGCTAGTAGAGGTTGGTTCATGAGGTTGAAGGAAATAAGCCATTTTCATAACACAAAAACGCAAGGTGAATCAGCAAATGCTGATGGAGAAGCTGCAGCAAGTTATCTGGAAGATCTAGCTAGGATAATTGAAGAAGGTGGCTATACTAAACAACAGATTTTCATTGTAGACAAAAACAGCCTTCTGTTGGAAGATGATGACATCTAGGACTTTCATAGATGGAGAAAGGAAGTCAATGCCTGACTTCAAAGCTTTAATAGACAAGGTGACTCTCTTGTTAGTGGCTAATGCAGCTGGTGACTTTAAATTTAAGTCAGTGCTCATCTACTATTCTGAAAATCCTAGGGTATTTAAAAATTATGCTAATTATACTCTGCCTGTCCTCTATAAATGGAGTGGCAAAACCTGGATGAGAGAACATCTGTTTACCATATGGTTTACTTAATATGTAAGCCCGCTGTTGAGACCTACTGCTCAGAAATAAAGATTTCATTCAAAATATTACTGTTCACTGACAATTCACCTAGTCAACCTAGAACTCTGATGAAAATTTGCAAGGAGATTAATGTAGTTTTCATGCCTGTTAACACAATATCCATTCTGTAGCCCTAGATGAATGAATGTTTTTGACTTCCAAGACTTATTTAAGAAAAGCATTTCATAATCAGGCATGGTGGCATGTGTCTGTAATTCCAGCTACTAAGGAGGCTGAGGCAGGAGAATCACTTGAACCCAGAAGGTGGAGGTTGCAGTGAGCCAAGATTGTGCCACAGCCCTCCAACCTAGGCGACACAGCAAGACTCCATCTCAAAAACAAAACAAACAACAAAAAACATTACATAGGGCTATATCTGCCATTGGTAATGATTCCTCTGATAGATCTGGGCAATTCCTTCTGGAAAGAAAATCACCATTCAAGATACCAATTAAGAACATTTGTGATTCATGGAAGGTCAAAATATCTACATTAACAGAAGTTTGGAATAAGATAATTCCAACCTTCATGAACGACTTCAATGGATTCAACACTTCTATAGAGAAAGTAATATAAATATGGTGGGAATAGCAAGATAAATAAAATTAGAAGTGGAGCTTAAAGATGGAACTAAATTACTGCAGTCTCATGATAAAACTTGGATGGATGAGCACTCGCTTTTTATGAATGAACAAATACATTGCTCCCTCTCCCTCTCCCTCTCCCTCTCCCTCTCCCTCTCCCTCTCCCCTCTTTCCATGGTCTCCCTCTGATGCCGAGCTGAGGCTGGACTGTACTGCCGCTGTCTTGGCTCACTGCAACCTCCCTGCCTGATTCTCGTGCCTCAGGCTGCCGAGTGCCTGGGATTGCAGGTGCACGCCGCCACGCCTGACTGGTTTCCGTATTTTTTTGGTGGAGACAGGGTTTCACTGTGTTGGCCGGGCTGGTCTCTAGCTCCTAAACATGAGTGATCTGCCAGCCTCGGCCTCCCGAGGTGCCGGGATTGCAGATGGAGTCTCCTTCACTCAGTGCTCAATGTTACCCAGGCTGGAGTGCAGTGGTGTGATCTCGGCTCAATACAACCTCCACCTCCCAGCCGCCTGCCTTGGCCTCCCAAAGTGCGGAAATTGCAGCCTCTGCCCGGCCGCCACCCCGTCTGGGAAGTGAGGAGCGTCTCTGCCTGGCCGCCCATCATCTGGGATGTGAAGAGCCCCTCTGCCCGGCTGCCCAGTCTGGGAAGTGAGGAGCGCCTCTTCCCGGCCGCCATCCCATCTAGGAAGTGAGGGGCATCTCTGCCCAGCTGCCCATCATCTGAGATGTGGTGAGCGCCTCTGCCCCGCTGCCCCGTCTGGGATGTAAGAAGTGCCTCTGCCTAGCTGTGACCCCATCTGGGAGGTGAGGAGCGTCTCTGTCCGGCTGCCCCATCTGAGAAGTGAGGGGCCCCTCCGCCCGGCAGCCACCCCATCTGTGAAGTGAGGAGCCCCTCCGCCCTGCAGCCGCCCCGTCTGGGAGGTGTACCCAACAGCTCATTGAGAGCTGGCCATTATGACAATGGCAGTTTTGTCGAGTAGAGAGGGGGGAAATGTGGGGAGGGGATGGAGAGGTCGGATTGTTGCTGCGTCTGTGTAGAGGGAAGTAGACATAGGAGACTCCATTTTGTTCTGTACTAAGAAAAATTCTTCTGCCTTGGGATGCTGTAAATCTATAACCTTACCCCCAACCCTGTGCTCTCTGAAACACGTGCTGTGTCCACTCAGGGTTAAATGGATTAAGGGCGGTGCAAGATGTGCTTTGTTAAACAGATGCTTGAAGGCAGCATGCTCATTAAGAGTCATCACCACTCCCTAATCTCAAGTACCCAGGGACACAAACACTGCAGAAGGCCGCAGGGTCCTCTGCCTAGGAAAACCAGAGACCCTTGTTCACTTGTTTATCTGCTGACCTTCCCTCCACTATTGTCCTATGACCCTGCCAAATCCCCCTCTGCGAGAAACACCCAAGAATGATCAATAAATACTAAAAAAAAAAATAAAATAAAAACAAAATAAAATAAATAAAAATCAAGAGGGGGAATATTAAAAAATAAATAAATAAATTGATTTTTGCGGGGATAGAGTCCACTCCTGGTGAAGATGCTGTGAACTTGGTTGAAATGACAGCACCTGATTTAGAAGATTACAGAAACTTAGTTGATAAAACAGTGTCAAGGTTTGAGATGATCAACTAAAACTTTGAAAGAAGTTCTGTTGTGGGGATGATGCTATCAAAAATCACTGCATGTTACAGAGAAAATTTTTTATGAAAGAAAGAGTCAATTAATATGGCAAACATAATTGTCTCATTTTAAGAAATTGACATATTTTCTACCTGGGACCAAAGGAAGATGGCAGATAGGAGGCAGGGCTAATGTGCATCTCCCACTTGGATAGACAGAACGATGTGTTGATACTCACACTGTGAACTGTTGTTCCAAGAATTACTGCAGGAACGTATCAGGAAAACCAAAAGAATTAACAGATATTTGAAAGAAGTGACATGCCACTGCAAACTCTGCAGGACGAGTGAAAAGCTTTGAGTTCCCAAATTGTGAGAGTGAGAAAACCTGCCTTTGAACACACATCCCCACTGGGAAATCTAAAATTTCAGATAACAGGAGAAGAATTTAACCTTATCTAGAGCTGGAATGGATTTAGGGAGCCATGTGAAATACAAAAGTAGAAGCAGCAGTATGAGAAGCCTCGTAGGCACTCCCAGTCTCCAGTTTGAGCCCATGGAAGCCATCTCTGACTTTATCTCACAGGGGCCCTCAGGAAAGGCAGACAGCAGAATTAGGGAGGGGACACAGGGTGAAAGAATCTTCCAAATAAATGTGATAATTTCAAGTGGGAACAAAATCCCTCGAACAGAATCTAGGGGATGAATGGGAACTACAGCAGAAATGAGCATAGGAACGGGTTATCCACCATTGCAGGTAAATGGAGAGGGGTGTGGCATGAACACTGTGCTTGCTTTTTCAGCGGGGAATCTTATGGCATGGGGAGGGTCTGAGTTCTGTGCACAGGCAGCCTGGATCTAAACTGACCACTTGCACTGTTAGTGGGGCACTGTGGGAACAAGACCAGCCTTGCCAACTGTGTGGAGGCTGAGTGAAGCCTTTTACTACCAGTGACCCCCTACTTCCCTAGTGAAGTCTCCTGTATGGGAGAGGTAGCCATAATCCCCTCTGGAACATAACCCCATTGGCCTGAGAACTACCTGCTTATCCCCACAGTGACAGCTGCAAGCCCTGCCCAAGAAGAGTCTTTACTAGATCAGCCTAACCCTGCCCCCATCTGATGGTATTTCTCTACCCACCCTGGTAGCCAAACACAAAAGACACAAACTCTTGGGAGTTTTATGGCCCCACCCATCACCTGAGAAATCAGAATACTTCCCCTGGCCAACTTAGGGCAAGCTCAAATTCCACTGCTAATACAACAGCTGGGATCTCCTGAAAGTGCCACCTCCTGGCTGGAGGTCAACCAGCTAAGGCCATTACAGCATCTCATGACAGAATAATGCTCCTCCCAGGAAGGAGAAAACAGCAACTAATACCACTGCCTGCAACATCCTGGCTACCAGAGGTCCTGAGTCTGTCCATGTAACAACTTCACTGCTAGCATAACCAGCATTCATGAAAACTAGGATTTAACCTGTCTACAACCAAGGATTCTCAGAATCTGCATCACTCCCCTGCCATCTCCACCAGAGCAGGTGCTGGTATCCATGGCTGGGAGACCCAAAGACTGATCATATCACAGGATTCTTTGCAGACATTTCCCAGCACCAGCCCAGAGCCTGGTAGCCCCACTGGGTGGCTAGATCCAAAAGATCAATTACAATCACTGCAGTCTGGTTCTCAGGAAGCCCTATCCCTAAGGGGAAGGGGACAACACCACATCAAAGAATCACCCCATGGGACAAAAGAATCTGAACAGCGGGCCTTAAGTTCCAGATCTTTCTCACAGCAGAAACACAATTGCAGTGCTGGATGCAGTAATAAAAATTCTGCACCTATACCACAACAGGCAGGCAGCCTCAGTGATCATGAAGAGCCTTGGAGAAGGGGTCCTTCTTCCCCCTGGTACTCTATGCAGACACAGCTGGGGCTTCCCCCACAGGAATGCAGTATGGAGTCACCTATAGACAGACTTTGTGGAACAGTCCTGGTGAGTGCAGCCCCATAGGAGGAGCCTACCCCAGATTCAGGCCTGCAAGTGTGGCAGAGTCACAATTCCCCCCTACTTGAAACATCAACATTTCCATAGACAAAAAGTGGTGCCTGTATGATCTGAATAGCTGAAACATAAAGCAGGAGTGAGGCTGTGAAGCTTTCCTGCTGATCTGGCAGGAAGTTGAGGTAGCTCCCACTCTTCACCCTGATAAAACCTCAGCACATTTAATTGAGAGTTCACTCAGCCATCCTCATTATGGCTGGGACCTTGACCCAACATTGGGTATTACATCTACCCATCTGCCTTAGTCAGAATCAATGCTTACCCAGGGATATCTCCCCTATTGGCCTGAAGCCTGATTCATCAACTTAGTAAATAAAATACAAGGACAAATAATAAATAAATAAAGTGTATACCACAAGAGAATGAGATATGCTTCAAGAGATCCTTGCCTTTCCAACTCCATAGGAGATAGTAAACTTACCCACACACCAAGAATATAACTACTACAACCAGCATTAGGGAAAACCAGAACGCAAAGACTCTCATAACTAAGGATCTCTTAGAGAGTCATCACCCCTACAAGCATCAAGAATCAAATTAGGCTAAAATAAACATTAAAGTCTGATCCTTAAGAGAATAAAAAAGAAATATATATTAAATAAAAACACAGTTCAATTAAAAATAAATTCCAAAAAAAATTTTAAGTACTAGCCTACTCAAATGAGAAGGAACTAGAAAAGTAATTCTGGTAATATGACAAAACAGGGTTTTAAAGCACCCCCAAAAGATCACACTAGCTCCCTAGCAGTGGATCCAAACCAAGAAGAAATCTCTGAATTGCCAGGTAAGGAATTCAGAAGTCACACCTGTAATCCCAGCACTTTGGGAGGCCGAGGTGGGCAGATCACGAGGTCAGGAGTTCGAGACCAGCCTGACCAACATGGTGAAAACCCGTCTCTACTAAAAATACAAAAATTAGCAGGGCATGGTGGCACACACCAGTAATCCTAGCTACTCAGAAGGCTGAGGCAGGAGAATCGCTTAAACCCATACCCAGAAGGTGGAGGTTGCAGTGAGCTGAGATCACATCACTGCACTCCAGCCTGGGCGAGAGAGTGAGACTCAGTCTCCAAAAAAAAAAAAAAAAAAGAAAAAGAATTCAGAAGGATGATTATTAAGCTACTAAGCTACTCAAGGAGATAACAGAAAAACATGAAAACCAACTTAAAGCAATTTTGAGAAAACAATAGAAGATATGAATGAGAACATTTTCAGAAAAATAGATGTCATAAAGAAAAAACAATCACAACTTCTGAAAATGAAAGTCACACTTAGAGAAATACAAAATGCAGGAGAGAGTTGCAACAACAGAATAGAAAAAGTAGAAGGAAGAACTTCAGAGCAAGGCTTTCAAATTGAACCAATCCTACAAAGACAAAGTAAAAGTAATAAAAAATGAAGAAAGGTTCCAAGAAGTTTGGGATTATGTTAAGTGGCCAAACTTAAGAACAATTGGTGTTCCTGGAGAAGAACAGAAATCTAAAAGTTTGGAAAATTTATTTGAAGGAATAATTGAGGGAAACTTCCCTGGCCTTGCTAGAGATCTAGACATTCAAATACAAGAAGCTCAAAGAACTCCTGGGAAATTTATTGTGAAAAGATAATCACTAAGGCAAATAATCATCAGGTTATCTAAAGTCAAGGCAAAGGAAAGAATCTTAAGACCTGTGAGACAAAAGGATCAGATAACCTATAAAGGAAAACTTACCAAATTAACAGCTATTTCTCTGCAGTAACCTTACAAGCCAGAAGAGCTGGAGGTCCTATCTTTAGCCTTTTAAACAAGATAATTGTCAGCCAAGAGTTTTGTATCCAGCAAAACTAAGCTTCATAATTGAAGGAGAGATAAAGTATTTTTCAGTTAAACAAATGCTGAGAGAATTTGTCATTACCAAGCCAGCATGGCAAGAAATTCTAAAAGGAGTTCTAAAACTTGAAACAAAACCTCAATATACATCAAAATAGAACTTCATTAAAGCATAAATTTCACAGGGCCTATACAAAAATAACACAATGAAAAACAAAAGTATTAAGGCAACAGCTAACAGGATAAATAGAACAGTACCTCACGTCTCAATACTAATGTTGAATGTAAATGGCCTAAATGCTCCACTTAAAAGACACCGAATGGCAGAATGAATAATCTACCAGCCAAGTATCTGCTATTTTCAAGAGACTCACCTAAAAAATAACAATCACATAAACTTAAGGTAAAGGGGTAAAAAGTATATATTCCATGCAAATGGAAACCAAAAGTGAGCAGGAGTAGCTATACTTATAGTCAGACAAAGCAGACTTTAAAGCAACAACAATAACAAAGAAAAAGAAATAGATGGACATTATATAATGATATAGCTAAATGAATCCAATAGCATATCAATAAGAGAACACACCATGATCGAGAGGGTTTCACACCAGGGGTGCAGAGATGGTTTAATATATGCAAGTCAATAACTGTGTTACATCACATAAACATAATTAAAAACAAAAAATATAGTATAATCCCAATAGATGCAGAAACAGTATTTGACAAATTCCAGCATCCCTTTATTATTAAAGCCCTCAGCAAAATTGGCATAGAAGGAACATACCTCAAAGTAAGAAAAACCATCCATGAAAAAAACCGCAGCCAATATTACACTGAATGGAAAAAAAACGTTCAAAGCATTCCCTCTGAGAACTGGAACAAGACAATGGTGTCCACGTTCACCACTTCTATTCAACATATTACTGGAATTCCTGACTAGAGCAGACAAGAGAAAGAAATATAAGGTATCAAAATCAGAAAAGAAAAGTCAGACTGTCGCTGTTCACCGATGATATGTTCATATAACTAGAAAACCCTGAAGACTCATCCAAGAAGTTCATAGATCTGACAAATGAATTCAGTAAAGTTTCAGGATAAAAATCAGTGTACACAAATCAACTGCACTGCTGTACACCAAAAAACACCAAGCTGAGAATCAAATCAAGAACTCAGTTTATTTTACAACAGCTTCCAAAAAATAAAAATAAAATAAAATACTTAGGAATACACTTAACCAAGGAAGTGAAATGTCTCTACAAGTAAAACTACATAACACTGCTGAAAAAGTAATCGCAGATGACACAAATGGAAACACTGCCCATGGAAATGCAAATTAAAACTACAACTCATTCTTACAAGAATCACTATAATTTAAAAAATCAAAAAGTAATGTTGGCATGGATGTGGTGAAAAAAGAACACTTTTACACTGCTGATGGGAATGTAAACTAGTACAAACACTATGGAAATCAGTATGGAAATTTCTCAAAGAACTAAAAGTAGAACTACCATTATAACTAGCAATCCCACTACTGAGTATATACCCAAAGGAAACTACATCATTATATGAAAAAGACACTTGCACATGCATGTCTATAGCAGCACAACTTGCAGTTACAAAAATACAGAATTATCCTAAATGCCCATCAACCAATGAGTAGATAAAGAAAATACAGTATATATATACATGCACCAAGAAATACTACTCAGCCATAAAAAAAGAATTGAAATATTGGCATTTGCAGCAACCTGGATGGAGTTGGAGACCCTTATTCTAAATGAAGAAACTCAGGAATAGAAACCCCAAAATCCTATATTCTTACCTATAAGTGGGAGCTAAGTTATGAGGACACAAAGGCCTAAGAATGATATAATGGACTTTGGAGACTTGGGTGAAAGAGTGGGAGGGGTGTGAGGGATAAAATATTATACATTGGGTAGAGTGTGTACTGCTCAGGTGAGGGGTGCACCAAAATTTCAGAAATCACCACTAAAGGACTTATCTATCTAATAAAAAAAGTTTGTTCCCCCCAAAAAATATTGCAATAAAATAAAATTAAAAAAAGAAACTTCCTCAGCTACCTCAACCTTTAGTAACCACCACCCTGATCAGTCAGTAGCTACCAACATCCAGGGAAGACCCTCCACCACTCAAGAGAATATGACTTGTTGAAGACTCAGATGACTGATAACATATTTCAGCAATAAAGCAATTTTAAACTAAGGTATGCACATGTTTTTAGACATAATGTTATTCTTGCATACTTAATAGACTACAGCAAAGTGTAAGCATAACTTGTATATGCACTGGGAAAACAAAACATTAATGCCAGTCACTTTAATGTGATATTTGCTTTATTGAGGTGATCTGGAACCAAACACAAAAGCTTGAAGGACAAAATGTGGACATTGAATCGCTTGAATGACAGGCAAATTGTATTAAAATTGATTATTTGGATACATAAAATATAAGAACAGATTTTGAGAAGTAAAGAAACATGATAAGAACTATGATTTTGGAATATTGATCTAGCAAAGGCATGTAAGATAGCTTGTTGTGGGGAAATAATAGTCAGAGGGATAAATATGAAGGTTATTAGAATAACTAAGCATAAGTAGTTAAGGCCAAAACTAGAGGTTAGTATTGGAATAATAGAAAATATTAAAGGTAATATTCAGTGAAGGGTTATTATGTTACCTGCTATGTGCTTTATAAATGTCCTGCAGTATCTACCACGCAAATTAGGCATGTGCTTTTATTATTACTGTGTTACAACTAAAGTGACTTGAGATTATTATAGGTTATATGCTCACTCAAGGCTACATTGCTAATAACTGACCAGTGGTATGTTGAGAACTTGGAATAACCTCCATACTAAATTCTAACATAACAATTGTGTGAGGGAGAGATAATACAATAATTAATGTTTTGGTGACTAACTGATGGGCAAGAAGTTTATAGATAAATCATAGATGATTCTGAAGTTTCACATATGGCTTACTGGGTAATGATGATATTTATAAATTTCATAATTTAGAAAGGACTGCTTTCTTAAACATTTTATGGAAAGGTTTGGTTTTCTGTTCTTTACTTTTACTATTCTCTCAAAAGGAGGTTTGTTGTTGTTGTTTGTTTTTGCTTTCTTTTGTGTCATTGTCATTGTCTTTGTTTAAACTCTACAACAATAGAAACTCATTCTTTTTTTCCCACTCACTCTTAAGACATACCTCTAAAGCTAAACATTTTGCTCCATTAACCCTAGCTGCAAATATCTCCTTTATCTTTGAATTTCAACATATTCATGTGTCCAGAATAATGCTGTTTTAAACTTGCCTGTATTTTGTTAAATGATTCTCTTTCTCTAAATTGTCCATATTTTCAAATCAGAGGTAAAGTACTATGTTTACATTACAGAGTTGTAGATAATTTTGTATTACTCTTCTGAATGCTTCACAATTTAAAAATAACAGATATTTAAATATAACTACACTTACACAACCACTACTTTTTACCAAACACAGATGAACAAGAAAATACCAATTATTGTGGAAAGAATTAAGCTGGATTTAAGTATACATTTTCTGATAATCAGAACTGCTAAATATTTATATTTTTATTGGGAAATTATAAAATGTACCTTTCCCTGAAACCTTTAAAATGGAATTGATGTAATACTGCAGTTAATTACTGAAAGTGCAACATTTTTCATTAAGACTCAGTGGACCTTAGGCTATGCTTACTGATCCTATAAATGAAATTCACAAATAAAGTACACCAATGTTAAAGAAAAGCCTTACCACAGCATGACTAACAAGTAACAAATTAACAAATTATTTCAAGTTGTGATTATTTTTGTGGTATCCTTGTTTTGCTTTTGCTGCAAATATAAATCTGGCCTGTACAATCATCATAATCTAACAGTTTCTATAATACAAAGGCAGTCATGTAAATGCTAAAAATTATCATAATTGCTTGAAATAGAGTTATAATCTCCAAATGTATGGAGATCAGTATACTGTTCTTTATTTCTTTATATTTCCCTCTCTCTCTTTCTATTTATTTCTTTTTTAAATTTTGCTAACTTGAATTCCCATGTTGAAAAGTCTAATTTCTCTAACCTGCCAGAAAAAAACAAATGCTGCTAAAGACCTTCAGTTTCACGGCATGCATTGAAAACATAGTCCAAAAGGACTGAATCAATCCAATCATTTGGGAATAATTTAAACATTTTGATGGGGTCAACAATGCCAAAAGCTTATGCAAAATTGCTTTGCTGTTCTGTGTTATTCAGATGCAATATACAAATTCTTACAAAAAGTTGCCATTACAAGATCTGTAGCAATAGAAGGATCTTAGAGAAGCGTGTATAATTATACCTCAGAGAGGAGTAGTAGCAGAAATATCTGCTGCAAAACTAATAAACACAAGAAAGCAAGTAAGATTGTCTCATGTAGGTGCACTGGTGGATTCAGGCTTTGTAGGTTTTGCCCCTTATATAATTTGAAGTGGACGCTTTAAGTAAAAGAATAACAAATTAGGAATGAAAGTGAATGTTTCTTTAGAATGAGCAAAGGAAATCACACAAAATTACAAATTTATAAAAGCTGACAAGTATCACAAACTTCACAACATCCAGAAAAAAAACATAATATTTTTAATTAACTGAGAAACCTCTTTCATATTATTTTTCTATTTTTTGTTACCAATGCTTTGATTAGCTCTTCATAGCACAGTGATTTTGTGACATTATTTTCTATAGAGAAAAGAGAAACATAATTTGGTTTTCCTCTAGCATAGTTTAGGAAAGTTTCTTTCAACTTTACAACTCATTCTTGGTAATGTAATTAAACTATAGGATTCTAATCAAATTTATACAATTGACTATGATGTCTCTTTCATACATAAACTGCAAGATTTGGGACACATTTCTATAGCTTAGATGCTGGCTATACACATTTCAAACTTTTGTTTCTTCTCCAATACTCACGTACTCCCAGAGTTAAGTATCATAAACCAGTTCATATGACAATACCACCTCTGACACTGAAACTTCATGTCATGATGCAGAGTGGATTGGCACAGTACACACAAGTGCACAGAGCAATGGGGGAGAATGAAATGCACGGTGCATGGCAAGGAAACTGAGCACATTCACTCCAGGAAGAGCTGGCAAACTCCAGCTTGGGAATCTACAGTGGTCACTTATTAAGCCATCTGGGGGCAGGATTTTTTCTGCAGTCAACTTGTCTGTTTCAAGTCATTTGACACCCCTAGTTACAGCTTACTTGTCTGTTTCAAGTCATTTGACACCCCTAGTTACAGCTTACCTGATAGAAAAAATAAGGTGAGAGTGGACCAAAAAAAGTTTGATCCAAGATTCCTAAAAAGTAGTAATGGAAGCAGAAAAATTATTTTATAGCTGCCTACCACCAGGATTACGCTGCAAGAATCAACCCTGGGCTAGTAAATATGATATTGGTAATACTTTTCTCTAACAGTAAATTTAAGATTAGAATTTCCAGATTCTATAAATCTATAACGTATATAATGGCATATATTATCAGTAATCATGAAAAGTAACAGGTGTCTTTCTAAATGCTGCAACCACAAGAGTTACCTCTTTATAGATTAAAAGGTAAAAAAAAATGCTGGCAAAAAAAATAATAAAATCATCTATTTTAAATCCATTTATTTTTCTTATAGAATCTTCAGAGCTTTACAAAAGGGTCTGATGTTTTACTGCTAAAAATTGATTATAAACACCACTTCCTTGGATTCTAAAGCATCCAGGAAGACTAAAAACACTAATGACCTCAATTTTTTTTCCAGTTATAAATTCAGAAAACTAATCAGAATTTAAAAATTAAAATTTAACACAAAACAATACAATCTAAAAAAGGTCAGATTGCCTAGCCCACTGGCTTTGCACTCATACAAACAGGAAGCTGAAATTTTGAGTTTTGATGGTCACTGTATCATTAATCTATTATGTTTCCATAACAAATTACCTGCTCAAATTTAAGTTTTCTTTATCTGCAAATCTTAAAGAGTTCACTGTGTCATGAGTATAATTGGTAAACAATCATATCTCCCTATATGAGGCAACCTCTCTGAGCACTAAACTAATTACCTAAACAATTTTTTTACCATGAAGATTGGTAACAACGATATATAGGAGAAAAAAATATTAGAATTAAAGTGTCTTTGTTGTAAGATAATATTTTTTCTAATGATCTGGTTTCACTGCCAGTGTTAATAATTTATCTCTACCCAAATCTGTTCAGAAATAGAAATACTTTCTTTTATTACCTAAGAAGCTCTGAATAATCCCAACTGAAAAATGCCTGCCATGCTACTAGTACGGAAATCAAATTTTCTATACCTGTACATTTTAATTGGTGATGGAGGAATTTGTGCCTAATTATTTATATATGGTTTGAATTATATAATTAATAGTGCTGTTTTAAATAATTTTACCTATGATAGAATAAATTTCTCAAACTAATATTTTAATTCTTTCACCTTGCTTTGAGTCACTTGCAGGATGACTTGAAAATAGTATTCTTTTCTTTTTTTTTTTTTTTTTTTTTTTTTTTTTTTGAGACAGAGTCTCACTCTATCACCCAAGCTGGAGTGCGATCTCGGCTCACTGCAACCTCCTCCTCCAGGGTTCATGCAATTCTCCTCCCTCAGACTCTTGAGCAGCTGGGATTACAGGCGCCTGCCAGCATGCCCAGCTAATTTTTTTTGTATTTTTATTAGAGATGGGGTTTCACCATATTGGCCAGGCTGGTTTCGAACTCCTGACCTCAAGTTATCTGTCCGCCTTGGCCTCCCAAAGTGCTAGGATTACAGGCATGAGCCACAGTGCCAGGCCTGGAAATAGTGTTCTTGAATCTTTGTCTTTACTCTTGTAGGAAATGTGGCTTACTATTACAAGCTGATAGAATAGTTCCCTAAACTATCCTCTTATTATTATCTGTGATAATATATTGAAAAGTATAGGTCATTGCTTAGACATATGTTGGGTTGTCAATACACTGAATACTCAGTAATACATAACACAAAATATTTTGTCAACATATGTTAACTCAATGAAGTTTACAAGTATAGAAGTATGCTTATGGAGCTTCCTCATTCTGTACAATCAAGTTGCTCATCTTTCCTAGGACCAGAATAGACCAGAATATTTTTCCCTCTTAATTAATTCCTGGGTGTACTGAAGAAAAAATAGCAAATCTTAATTTTGACCTAAAACTAAATTCCAGAGTGCTACTTTCTACACATATTAGCTACAAATAGCATACATATTTCAAGATCTGGAATAGAAGTTGATAAGCTACACTTAAATCTTGGCTTGCTTTGGCCCTTGAGTTGCAAAACACAATGCTTATGGCATAGAGACCCTGATATTATCTCCATAAATGTGACAAATTACAAGCCAAATTAAATGACATACACCTAGAAGAGCCCCAATGGTACAATTTATTAAATACTTTAGTATAATGAGTATTTATGTTAAATTGATTATGCTAAGACTATGGCAGGTTAAGCTTAATATTTCTGGTTTCTGAATGCTCAGTTTAATATATCAGATTACAGCATCTTCACCTCTGTTTATTGTTTTGTGCTGCGTGTGTGTGTGTGCACAAACTCAAAGAACTAAAAAAAGAAAAAGAAACTAAGCCCGTATTAGCAGACTAAAGTGAATAATAAATATTAAATCAGAACTAACAAAATAGAAAATAATTTGTAAAAACTCAATAAAAGTGAGTTACTTTTTGGAATGACCAACAAAATTCACAAAACTTCAGCTAGACTGAAAAAAGAAAAAATTCAAATAAATAAAATAAAAAATGAGGAGACATTATAACTGACATCACAGAAATATAAAATGATTATAAGAGATTATTATGAACAGTTGTACACTAACAAATTGGATAACTCGGAAAGATGGATTAATTCCTACAAACATATAATCTACCAAGAATGAATCATGAAGAGATAGAAAGTCTGAACAGACTGATAATTGGTAAGGAGTTTGAATGAATGAAAAAAACCTTCCAAAAAAGAAAAGCTTAGGAACATATGGCCTTACTGGTGAGTTCAACCAAACATAAATAAGAATTAACACCAATCCTTCTCAAGTTCTTCCAAAAAATAAAGAACAGTGAACACTATTGAACTGATTTTATGAAGCTGAAATGACCCTGATACCAAAGAAAGGCAAGAAGTCTACTAGAAAAGAAATTATGAGCCAATATCCCTGATGAACATAAATGCAAAAACTCACAACAAAAAGCTAGCAAACTAAATTCAACAAGATAACAAAAGGATCATACATCATGACCAAGTGGAATTACCCCTAGAATGCAAAAAAAAAAAATAATATAGGAAGCTATCAGTCAATGTGATATACCATATTAATAGAATGAAAAATAAAAATTATTTGATCATCTCAATAGGTACAGAAAAAACATTTGAGAAATTTCAACAACTTTTCATGATAAAAACAGACTAGATATAGAAGAAATTAACTCAAAGTAATAAAAGCCATATATAGATAGCCCACAACTATTATATTCAATGGTGAAAAACTGAAATTTTTTTCTCTAACGTGAGGAAAAAGTCAAGGATGCCCACTCTCACCATTTCTGTTCAACACAGTACTGGAGTTTCTAGCCAGGGCAATAAGTAAAAAAGGGCATCTAAATCAGATAGGTAGAAATAAAATTATAAAGATTACACACACACACACACACACACACACACACACACACTGTTAGAACTAAAAAACAAATTCAATATAATTGCAGAATACAAAATAAATGTACAAAAATTGTGTTTCTGTACACTGACAATGAAATATTGGAAAAAGAAGTTATGAAAATAATGTCATTTACAATAGCATCAAAATAATAAAATACATATGAATAACCTAGCCAAAAAGGAAAAAGACTTGTGTATACTGAAAACTACAAAACACTGGTGAACAAAAGTAAAGAAGATAAAAATAAATGCAAAGATTCCCTGTGTTTATGAATTGGAAGAGTTAATATTGTAAAAATATACATACTACTCAAAATGACCTGCAGGTTTTTCCAATCTGTATAAGAAACTCAATTTTTTTACATTAATAGAAAAAGCAATCTTAAAATTTATATGAGACTATAAAGGATTGTACCCAAATCTTAAGAGAAACAAAGACAAAGGACTCTAACATCCTAATTTTAACACACACTACAAAGCCACAGTAATCAAAATAGTATGATACTAGCGTAAAATAGACACTTAGACCAATAAAGCAGAATAGGAAGCCCAGAAATAACATCATGCATATATGGTCAACAGAGCTTCAACATGGGAGCTAAGAATACAAAGTGGAGTAAGGGTAATCTCTTCAACAAATGGTGATGAGAAAATTGCAAATTCACAGGCAGAAGAATAAAATTGGGCTTTTATGTCACGTAATTCATAAAAACCTACTCAAAATGAGTTAAAGACTTAATTGTAGAATGTAAACTGTAAAACTTCTAGAAAAAAATAGGAGAAAATCTTCATGACATTGATCTTGGCAATGATATATTGGATATAACACCAAAAGTACAGGTGAGAAAAGCAAAAATAGACCAGTGGGACCGTATCAAACTAAAACGCTTTTGCACAACAAAGGAAATAACCAACAGAATAAAAAGGCAACCTACAGTCTGTAGGAGAATATTTGCAAACCATATATCTGATAGCTTAATATCCAAAATATATAAAAAACTACAACTCAATACCAAAAAAAACCCAAATAACCCAATTAATAAGTAATAAAATGATCTGAATAGATATTTGTTCAAAGAAGATGTCCAAATAGTCAAGAGGAATATTAAAAGTTGCTCAACATCCTAATACCCAGGGAAATGCAATTCGACAACAATGAGATATTACCTTATACTTGTTAGAATTTAAAAACAAAAACCAACAAATGTAGCAAGTGTTGATGAGGATGTAGAACACAAGGAACACTTGAGCACTGAAGGGAAATATGTAAAATAATAAAGCTGCTAGGGAAAAACAGTATAGCGTTTCCTGAAAACATTAATAATGGAACTACCATGTGATCCAGCCTTCCCAACTCTGGCTATTTTTTCAAAATAACTGAAATCCAGATCTTGAAGAGATATTTGTACTCTCATATTCTGGGCAGATTATTTATAGTAGCCAAGAGGTAATGCCCATGGACTAATGAATAAAGAAAATGTGATATATACATACAATGGAATTTATTTAGTGATAAAAAATATGCCATATGCTATAATCTGGATGAACCTTGAGGACTTTATGTTAAGTGAAATAAGCCAGTTGCAGAAGGACAGAAACTGTATGATTTAACTTATGTGATATATGTAAAGGTGTCAAACTCATAGTAGTACAGAGTGGAATGTTGTTTGCCAGGGGCTGGGAGGAATGGAGAATGGAGAGTTGCTGTTCAAAGGATATAAAATTTCCTTCAAGCAGGATGAAAATGTTCTAGAAATCTATTCTACACTATTGGGATTATAGTTAGCAACACAGTACTCTGCACTTAAATATTTGTTAAGAGGATGGAAATTCATATGTGTGTCTTTTTGAACAAAATAAAAAAAAAAAAAAAAAGAACTTGGCCTTGGTAACGTATCAGACCTAGTTTGGAGCTTTCAATTCTGTTGGTCCTGTGGCCTTTAGTCAGTCAGTTTACTTAATCCATTTAATAGGTAATAGCATTTAACATTTATCCACTATAGCGTTTAGTATGTACAAGACACTTTTGAAATGCTACATAGATTGATAGATGATAAATAGATGGCCAATTGATACATAAATGCCAATACTCCTTTAATCCTCACAACAATCCATTCTACAAATGAGAAAACTAAGGCAGGGAATGATCAACTAATTTGTCACATAGCTAGTAAGTTATAGTGTGAGAATTCAATTCTAGGCAGCCTAGATTCACAGTTTTTGCTTTTAACTAATCTACTATATTATCTTGAAATCTCTTTACTTTCCTGCAAAGAGGTAGTATATATAAAACATTAAACAAGTGCTTTGCACATAATAATTAATATAGGCTTATATTACATTATTTATTACAATAAAGTGTAATAAAACATGGAAAGTCATGATGAATATCAGAAGGCAATAAACTTTGCAACAAATTAAATAACCATTGCAATGAAAAGGGTTGAAAGTTTAAGCAATGAAATATAAAGACTTCAGCTAATTATCAGAATGTCATATAGTGGTTCCAATTTTGGTCTCAATTTCCTGGTCTTTATAGTTGGAATAATATTTCTCTCATAGGATGTGTAAAAATTAAATGAATTCACACACCTGAAGTATTTAGACCAAAGCCTGGTATATGTTAAGTGCTCAAAAACAGTGCATGTGTCACAGAGGATTGACCTGCTGCATAGTTGTAATAATTAAAAATATATGGTTATGTATATTATAAAATGTCTTTCAATGGTGAATGTCAAGATTTAACAACCTTCACAGCAAGAACTATTTCCTTCTATCATAACTGAATCTCATAATCTCCATGGGCTGGAAAATAACACATTATATTGCTTTTATAATTATCCTTATAATAAATGGACAATATCAAATAATTTTCCTGAATTCTTTGTTTTAGATGAAATGTTTTCAGCTCCTAAATTGATTTCAGATGTTTTGGATTTCCTAACAGAAAGCATTTACTTTATTCCCTTTAAAACTAGTCTATGTTAATCTCAAAATTTGGAAATCAAATTGTAGTAAAAATTTAAATAATCTAGCATTTTGCAATGCAAGATAATTACTCATTGAACAAAGTTTTAAAAAATCAAGAAATGCATATGGCTCACGTCACTAACCATACAAGAACATTATGAGGCATTTTGGCAGCAGATACTGGGGAAACTATGACTTTGACCAGCATATACCCTTTGAATAGAATAGGAGAAAAAATAAAAGACTACAGTAAATTTAACTGGTCTCAAAACTATTGATTTTGTAATAGAGTTTTTAAATTTTTCAAAGACCAAAGTCATTACTTCAGAAATAATGAACCATCAATATTCCACCAAACAGCTTCTAGCAGATATAAAAGGAGATGTAATTGGAAGGAAATCAACTTCAGCTACTCCAGTGAAAACTTTGCATAAATATGTTGTTAAAAATGGTCTTGGTGGTTATGGACCTGTAGTTTATGTTGCTTTCATGGAGTACACTATGGATTTATTAATGGAACTACAGGTCTATGGTAACTATAAGTTAAGTATTTAGGTGAATATATAAATTGTCATTATTTTAAATACAGAAAAATTTGTAAATATTCTAAATAATGAAACAATTTAATTTACAATATATGTACAAGGTTTAGCAAGCAACAAAACTCCAGATTAAAGCAAAAATACAGTAGTGATTTTTAAAAATAGTACAATGGTAAAAGTAAGATATGTGTGTATCTGAAAGTTTAGAAAATTGTATAAGCCAGTCAGGACATTTCTTATGGGAATGCAGCAAGACTGAAGAGCTTCTGCACAGCAAAAGAAGCTGCCATCAGAGTGAACAGGCAACCTACAGCATGGGAGAAAATTTTTGCAATCTACTCATCTGACAAAGAGCTAATATCCAGAATCTACAAAGAACTTAAACAAATTTACAAGAAAAAAAACAAACAACCCCATCAAAAAGTGGGCAAAGGATATGAACAGACACTTCTCAAAGGAAGACATTTATGCAGCCAAAAAACACATGAAAAAATGCTCATCATCACTGGCCATCAGAGAATGCAAATCAAAACCACAATGAGATACCATCTCATGCCAGTTAGAATGGCAATCATTAAAAAGTCAGGAAACAACAGATGCTGGAGAGGATGTGGAGAAATAGAAACACTTTTACACTGTTGGTGGGACTGTAATCTAGTTCAACCATTGTGGAAGACAGTGTGGCGATTCCTCAAGGATCTAGAACTAGAAATACCATTTGACCCAGCGATCCCATTACTGGGTACATACCCAAAGGATTATAAATCATGATACTATGACACATGCACATGTATGTTTATTGCGGCACTATTCACAATAGCAAAGACTTGGAACCAACCCAAATGTCCATCAATGATAGAGTGAATTAAGAAAATGTGGCACATATACACCATGGAATACTATGCAGCCATAAAACCGGATAAGTTCATGTCCTTTGCAGGGACATTGATGAATGGAAACCATCATTCTCAGCAAATTATCACAAGAACCGAAAACCAAACACCGCATGTTCTCACTCATGGGTGGGAATTGAACACTTGGACACAGGGCGGGGAACATCACACATCAGGGTCTGTTGTGGGGTGTGGGGCTGGGGGAGGGATAGCAGTAGGAGAAATACCTAATGTAAATGATGAGTTTATGGGTTCAGCAAACCAAGATGGCAAATGTATACCTATGTAACAAACCTGCTCATTGTACACATGTGCCCTAGAACTTAAAGTGTAATAAAAGAGAGAAAAAAAAGAAATTTTATTATATTTAAATCATTACAACACCTGCTTTATGTGTGGTATAAGTTTACTTCTTGACTTCTTCCAATATCAATATTTTGTTCTTGAAAGAAATCAAACATGGGTAGTATTAATAGTCTAGGCTATACTGGCAGGAAGAAGCCATCTCATTTTCATAGCCTATGATATAACAATGTGAATCCTGCAAATAGGAATATATAAATAAATAGAAAGATTTGTAATTTTAAGTGTCAAAAAAAGTGGAGAATTTGTGAACAACCATATATCCATTTAAAGCTTTAGTGACTGCATAAGGAATAAATGTACAGTTATAATACAGGATTTAGTAAACAACACAAATTGTGTTTTTATTTGGTTATGATTAATATTGACAGGTTTTTACTATATGAAGAACTGACAGGTGCCCAGAAAAGTATCCTCATAATAAAACAAAATATCAGAAGGACCTACCCAGTATTTGAAGGTCAAATAATAAGCCTTAACTTAAATGATTTTAACAATTTGTGATTTTATTCCTCTGTTCTTTCACAAGATCGCAGATTCAGAATTTGTTTGTGTTTTTTTTTCTTTCAAACACTAGGGAGTTATTTCCTAAATAATATTTTAAGTGTGCACTTTTAAAGAAGTAATTGTGTTTGAAAAGGAAAATAAAAACATATGCTTTGCTGTTGTTAAATGAACTTCCTTCTAATCAACTTTTAACAGTGATTCCCATAGAATAAACTCACATAAAAATTATTTGAGCTTTATGAGTAAAATTTATTCCTAGACTAAAACATATTTCACAGGGAAGCAAAATATAAGACAGAATACGATATTGAGTAAGAAAATTTACTACTCTAGTGTTTTATGTATCTCCTCCATTCTCCCTCTGCATGTCTATAAATTGTTTTCTGCTAGTTTATTTGGTTATTGGGTGGTCATTCTAGGACATCACACATTTATATTTCTGAAAAAAAAAACTAATATTAGAGAAAGATTTAGGTATATAAAACATTTTTTCTCAATTAATAACTTTGTACACATTTAGATAGAAAAACAACTGTTTGTTTTCTGAAATACAAAATAACATTATAGTTGAGAATCTGCTTGCATTAAATTGTATCACTTCACAATGTGTTAAGAGAAGCTTTAGGATTTGTAATAGTATAGGAATCCCTTACAGAGAGTAAAAGTGGGAATTACAAATGGTAACTAATCACCCACATTTAGAAAACAAGAGTAGAGTTTAAGCAGTAAAAAGAAAAGATAGCTATATTTTTAGATTTGTCTTTTATCCCTCTATCTATCCTCTGTTGAAGTTCCCTCTTTAATACAATCTGAAAAAAAACACCTGTGGATATAATAAAAGACATGATAAATGAGCAGGTAAAGGTATTAACACTCTCCAAGAAAAGGGCTTGGATACATCAGAGAACAGTCCATTTTGTAGTTAGCTAGGTGATCTATTGTATTATTTTTTGTTTCTAATTTGGTCTTGAGATCTTCATAACAAGAGTGTCTACAAACTCTAGACTTAACTTATGGGACTCCAGGGCACTCATCAAGCAGGTATCCTGCAAGAAGTTCTAACTGGTGGGTTTAGAGCAAGCAGGTTCCATGGAATCACACTGTGACTGCGAGGTAGTAACTTTGGCATACCTGCACAATCCATATGGGGTAAAGGAGTCAGTGGGGTGAGTCAAATAAGTTGTATTTAACTGTTCCACAGGGATGTGGGACACCAGGAGGTGGTTGTACAAGGCAAATATCTGGGTCGACTACACTGAGGAACTGGGAGGAGGTGGAGAACTAGAAAGTTTGTCAAGGGCAATTAAGCTTTCTGGTATGAGAAAGCCCAACTTCTATTCAAAATGGATGCTGAAGCAAAACAAAATTATAGGACTTAATTACTGCTATAATAAAGATAAACTGCATCTATAGCCAGTCCTTATTTTCAGGGAAGCAGAGGTGGTGTGGAAGGAGAGGGCATAAGGACTGAATAAAGAGTGATTTTAAAGAGAATATCCACAGAGCTTGAGGGTAAAAAATTTGCTTCAGAAATTTAACCCTGATTGAGAGAATGTTAATGCCTTTTGTTGAATCAATGAACTTGGGAAATAGGCCAATATTTTTAAGAGAGGTGAGCAGGTTATGAACCTCATTGTAGGTAAATTGAATGAAGTGGTAATTAAACTTCCACATGATAATACTGTCAACATGTAGAGATATGAAACTAGAGTTAAAACTAGAGGTGGTATAACCAAACATATGAGGTGTCCACATAGAGGTAGTAGTTGAAGCTACAATATATGATCATTTTATCCACCCCCAAAATGGAGATTAGTAGAACCAAATGAATTATATACCAAATATATTTGCTAAGAAGGAGTTATGAATTAATGTTTGGGAAATTGCTATTTATATTTATTTACTTTTACCATGAGTATATATTGATAGGGAGTGATCGAATGATAAAATTAAACATGACTTAATTTCTAGATTTCAGAGAATGTAAGAAAATGCCTGGATGTCCAGGCAGAAGTTTGCTGCAGGGATCTCTTTTAGGGCAGTGCAAAAGGGAAATGTGGTGTGGGAGCTCCCACACAAAGTCCCCACTAGGCAGCACTGCCTAGTGGAGCTGTTAGAAGAGGGACACCATATGCCAGACCCCAGAATGGTAGATCCATTGACAGCTTGCACCATGTGCCTGGAAAAGCCACAGACACTCAAAGCCAGCCTGTGAAAGCAGCCAGAAGCAGGGGGGATGTACTTTGCAAGGTCACAGGGATGAAGGTGCCCAAGGCCATGGGAACCCACCTCTTACATCAGTTTGACCTGGATGTGAGACATGGAGCCAAAGGAGATCATTTTGGAGCTTTAAGATTTGACTGCCCCACTGGATTTCGGACTTGCATGGGGCATGTAGCCCCTTCATTTTGGCCAATTTCTTCTATTTTGAATGAGTGCATTTACCCAATACCTGTACTCCCATTGCATTTAGAAAGTAATACTCAGAAGGGACTTGGCGTGTCTCAGATGAGACTTTGGACTGTGGAGTTTTGAGTTAATGCTGAAATGAGTTAAGACTTTGGGGGACTGTCGGGAAGGCATCATTGGTTTTTAAATGTGAGGGCATAAGATTTGGGAGGGCTTGGGGGCAGAATGATAGGGTTTGGCTGTGTCCCCACCCAAATTTCATGTAAAATTGTAGCTCCTATAATTCCCACGTCCTGGGAGGGACCCAGTGGGAGGTAATCGAATCATGCGCGTGGATATTTCCCATGCTGTTCTTGTGATAGTAAATAAGTCTCCCAAGAGCTGAATGTTTTATAAAGGGGAGTTCCCCTACACAAGCTCTTTTTGCCTGCCACCATGTAAGACATGACATTGCTCCTGCTTTATTTTCCACCATGATTGTGGGGCCTCCCCAGCCATGTGGAACTGTGAATCCATTAAACCTCTTTCCTTTATAAATTACCTTGTCTCAGGTATGTCTTTATGAGCAGTGTAAGAACAGACTAGTACACCCTTGATCCAGTTTAATATCTTTATTTTATAGCTGCAGATACTGAGTCATAAAAGAGAAATTTACCTACATAAAGTCATAAATATATTAGATGAATTTAATAGGACAAATAAGAATTATAAGACTATGTTCGAGATGGTTCAAGGCTATTTTCCTAAGTATCTGTACATCTGTGTTCACACATGCAAGAGTGGTGGAGAGTATAAAATCTTGAAACAGACCTACTGTGTTCAAATCCAGGATCCATGACTTTGTCAGTCAGGGTTCTATTAGAAAACAAAACCAAGGTTAGATTGAAAGATATGGATGATAGGTAGGAATAGATAATAGAGAGAGAGAGATCAATAGATAGATAGACAGTTGGTGGATCTGTTAAAGTATTAATTTTACAATTGTGGGAGCAGGCTATTCTTGCAGCTGATGCAAGAGCTTGAATCCACAGGATAAGCAGCAGGGAAAGAAAGATAGATGTAAGAAAGATAGATGTCCCAGGAAAAAATTGGGACAGTATGAGGGCAGACTGAAACCCATGTAAGTCCTCATTGTCTCTGACCTTGATAATGTAGATGTCACACAGAAGCCAGGGCTCTTTGTCATGGAGATAAACATATCACATAGGTTAGGATTTGGAAAAGTCAAAGGAAAATCCAGGAAATGCTGGAGCCCTTACAGGCTAACTACTGCTTCATGCTAACAAAGTGAGTTTGCAGATCAGCAACAATATGTGTAAGAGACAAAACAGCTGCTATTTCCCATCCTTTTTCTAAATCTCTAAAGAATCTCACTTGTGGTCCACTCCATCCAGCAACATAGAGCAAATAAATTTATTAGAAATAGAATTCAACCTAGCCAAGTTGGCACATTAGAAAGCCACCACAAAGACTTATAAGCTATGGGTTTTACAGCAAATTAATTAATTTTAATATCCTAATCCTTAAAATATTAATAGTAATGATATCAATCACATAGGGTTGTTACAAATGATCAAATGAAATAAGTATGTAAAGAGTATAACACACACGGTCCCTAGAATATTGTTTATACTACATACATATTAACATAGAGGGTCACAAATTTACTATTACCTAAAAATTTATCTTTGCACTTTCTCTGTAATCAACTCTAATTTCACTTTCTGCTCGCATAGACGAATACCCTGGTTTTTAGCTAAAATTTTATAGTTAGAAAGACAAAAAGAAAAACATATTAATCCTTTTCAAATTATTACCTTATTTTATTTACTTTTTATTAATCATCATTTTATATTACTGCTCTTGCTGTGTGTTATTATGTTGTCATTGTTCTTGTTATTGCCTGAAATGTCTTCTCTGTTTTTCTGTATTCTCAAAACCTTCCCATTTTTTACATCATCTCTTTCTACTTCTAATGCAGCTTTTCTTCACTGAACTTCCACTTTTCTGAACTCATAATCTATATTTATAATGCTTGTCATGCATTATTTCTCCTACACAAATTAGCACTTAGTTGTACACATTCATATATAATTAATTAAGTGACTTGTATATATTATTGTTGGATCTTTAACTGAGTTCTAAGTTTCTGGAGGGCAGAAGAAAGTCTAAGATTGCTAGTATTTGGGAGGAGGGGCCAAGATGGCCTACTAAAACAGCTGCCATCTGAGGCTCCCAGCAAGAAGAAGAAAAAGGTGAGTGAATCATGCATCGTCAATTGAGGTATTCAGGTTCTATCATTGGGACTGACTAGGCAGTTGGTGCAACCAATGGAGAGTAAGGAAAAGCAGGGTGGTACTACGGCTCACCTGGGAACCCACACGGGAAAAGGGGAACTCCCACCCCAGCCAAGGGAGGCAATGAGTGATTGTGCTACCCTATCTTGGAAACCACACTTTTTTCACAGATTTGTGCAACCCATGGAACAGGAGATCCCTCTCGTGAGCCCACGCCACCAGGGCTTTGGGTCCCAAGCACAGAGTGGTGCAGATTCTCAGCAGCCACTTGGCTGGAGACTGCCTAAGACTGCTGAGTTCCTGAGGGGAAGGGTGGCCATTATCGCTGCAGCTGCCTGCTGCCTAAGAAGACTGAGGATCCAGAGAGAGCAGAGGCAGCCATTGCTGCAGTTCCAGTCTGCCACTAGTCTCCTGCTGGTGCCAGGGAGATTGGACAGTTTGGACCTAGGAGGAATTCCTCACAGTGTAGCACAGCAGCTGTGGAAGATTGTGACAAGACTGTCTCTTTAGGCAAGACAGTGACCAATCCCTCCTCACTGGGCGGGGACTCCCTGCAGGAATTTCAGCAAACTCCAGTCAGGGGGTTTAGGGACAGAACTCTCATCTCCCTAGGACTGAGCCCCTGCGGGGAGTGGTGGCTGTGGTCTCTATGGATCAGCAGAGTTAGTCTTTCCTCCTGCTGGCTCTGAGGAATCCCAGCAGTCCAGACAAGTGGGAATCCGCTTGGGGTGCACAGTGCACCCCCTCCACCAAGGAACAGCCAGAGTGCTTCATTAAGCGGGTCCTGAATCCTGTGCCTCCTGACTCAGTGACCCCCAATAAGAGTCATCAAACATATTATACAGGAGAGTTCCACTGGCATCAGATCGGTGCCCTTCTGGGACACAAATCCAACAGGAAGCAGAAGGCAGCCATCTTTGCTGATCTGCCCCCTCCACGGGTGACACCTACAGGTGCAGGAGGGACCCAGACTATAGGGTCTGTAGTGGACCCCCAACAAACCACAGCAGCCCTATGGAAAACTGGCGTGACCATTAAAAGAAAAACAAACAAACAGAAAGCAACAACAATAGCATCAACAGAAAAGTCCCCACCCAAAACCCTATCTAAAGGTCAGCAGCCTCAATCACCAAAGCTACATAAACTCATGACTATGAGAAACAATGAATGAGAAAACATTGCAAACTCAAAAATCCAGAGTCTCTCTTACAAATGATCGCAGCACCTCTCCGCAAGGGCACAGAACTGGGCAGATGCTGAGACGGATGAATTGACAGAAGTAGGATTCAGAAGGTGGGTAGTAACAAACTTCACTGAGCTAAAGGAGTGTGTTATAACCCAATGCAAAGAAGCCAAGAACCATGATAAAACATTACAGGAGCTGTTAACCAGAATAACCAGTTTAGAGAGGACAACAAATGACCTGATAAAGCTGAAAAACACAACACAAGAACTTCACAATGCAACTACAAGTATCAATAACCAGATAGAACCAGCAGATGAAAGAATTTCAGAGTTTGAAGACTATCTTGCTGAAATAAGACAGGCAGACAGATTAGAGAAGAATGAAAAGGGGTGAACAAAACCTTCAAGAACTATGAGATTATGTAAAAAGACTGAACCTATAAATGATTGGGGTACCTGAAAAAGATGTGAAGAACAGAACTAAGTTGAAAAACATAATTTAGGATATCATACAGTAGAACTTCCTCAACCTAATAAGACAGGCCAACATTCAAATTCAGGAAATCCAGAGAACCCCAATAAGATATTCCATGAGAAGATCAACCCCAAGACACATAATCATCAGATTCTCCAAGGTCAAAATTAATAAAAAAATGTTAAGGGCAGCCAGAGAGAAAGGCCAGATCACCTACGAAGGAAAACCCATAAGACCAACACCAGAACTCTCAGCAGAAACCCTACAACCAGAAGAGATTGGAGGCCAGTAATCCACGTTCTTAAAAGAATTTCCAATTCAGAATTTCATATCCTGCCAAACTAAGATTCATACGTGAAAAAGAAATAAAATTCTTTTTGGAAAAGCAAATGTTGAGGGAATTTGTCACCACCAGGCCTGCCTTGCAAGAGCTCCTGAAGAAAGCACTAAATATTGAAAGGAAAATCCATTACCAGCCAATGCAAAAACACACTGAACTAAAAAGACCAATGGCACTATGAAGCAACTATATTAAAAAGTGCAAAATAACCAACTAGCATCATGATGACAGGATCAAATTCACATATGACTATCTTAACCTTAAATGTAAATGGGCTAAATGACCCAATTAAAAACACAGAATGGCAAGATGGCAAGATGTATGGAGTCAAAACCCATTAGTGTGCTGTATTCAACAGACATATCTCATGTACAAAGACACATATAAGCTCAAAATATAGGGATGGGTGAAATTTACCAAGCAAATGGAAAGCAGAAAGAGCAGTGGTTGCAATCCTAGCTTCTGAAAAAACAGACTTTAAACTAACAAAGATCAGAAAAGACAAGGGCATTACATAATGGTAAAGGGAACCATACAACAAGAAGAGCTAACTATCCTAAATATATATGCACCCAGTATAAGAGCACCCAGATTCTCAAAACAAGTTCTTAGAGACCTACAAAAAGACTTAGATTCCCACACAATAATATTAGGAGACTTTAACACCCCACTGTCAATAGCAGATAATTGAGATAAAAAATATACAAGAATATTCAGGTCTTGACTTCAAGTGGACCTGACAGATATCCACAGAACTCTCCACACAAAAACAACAGAATATACATTATTCTCCATGCCACATGGTACTTACACTAAAATCACATAATGGGAAGTAAAACACTCCTGAGCAAAAGAAAAAGATCTGAAATCATAACCAACAGTCTCTCAGAAAATAGTGCAATCAAATTAGAACTCCAGATTAAGAAACTCACTCAAAACCATACAACTACGTGGAAATTGAACAACCTGCTCCTAAGTGAGTCCTGGGTAAATAATGAAATTAAGGCAGAAATCAAGAAGCTATTTGAAACCAATAAGAACAAAAAGTCAACACACCAGAATCTCTAGGACACAGCTAAAGCAGCGTTAAGAGGAAATTTATAGCACTAAATGCCCAATCAAAAAGCTAGAAAGACCTCACTCAAATCTACCCCCTACATCACAATTAATAGAACTAGAGAACTAAGAGAGAGAAAAAAAAACAACACTAGCAGAAGATAAAAAATAATCAAGATCAAAGCAGAACTGAAGGAAATAGAGACAAGAAAAAAATCTTAAAAAAAAAATCAATGAATGCAGGAGCTGGTTTTTGAAAAAATTAATGAACTAGATAGACCACTAGCTAGACAAATAAAGAAGAAAAGAGAGAAGAATCAAACAGACAAAAAAATTATAAAGGGGATATCACCACTGCCCCACAGAAATACAAAGTGCAATTAGATAATATTATAAACATTTCCATGCAAACAAACTAGAAAATCCAGAAGTAAGTGGATAAATGCCTGGACACACACAACCTCCCAAGACAGAACCAGGAAGAAATTGAATCTCTGAATAGACCAATAACAAGCTCTGAAATTGAAGCAATAATAAATAGCCTACCAACTAAAAAAAGCCCAGGAACAGAGAGATTTACAGCCGAATTTTACCAGAGATACAAAGAGAAATTGGTACAATTCTTTCTAAAACTATTCCAAACAATTGAAAAGGATAGATTTCTCCCTAACTTATTTTATGAGGCCAGATTCATCCTGATACCAAAACCTGGCAGAGATACCATAAGAAAACAAAACTTCAGGCCAACAATCCTGATGAACATCGATGCAAAAATTCTTAATAAAATACTCACAAACTGAATGCAGCAGCACATCAAAAAGTTTATCCACCGCAAGCAAGTTGGCTTCATTCTCATGATGCAAGACTGGTACAACATACACAAATCAATAAATGTAATTCACCAAATAAACAGATCTAAAGACACAAACCATGTGATTATCTCAGTAGATTCAAAAAGGGCTTTTGACATAATTTAACATCCCTTCATGTTAAAAATTCTGTATAAACTAGATATTGATGGTACATGCCTCAAAATAACAAAAGCAATTTTTGGCAAACCCACAACCAATATCATGCTGAATGGGCAAAAGCTGGAACCATTCCCTTTGAAAACCGGCACAAGACAAGGATGCCCTCTGTCACCACTCCTATTCAACATAGTATTGAAAATTCTGGCCAGGGCAATCAGGCAAGAGAAAGAAATAAATGTTCAAATAGTAAGAAAGGAAGTCAAACTGTCTCTGTTTGCAGATGACATGATCCTTTATTTAGAAAATCCTATAGTCTCAGCCCAAAAGCTTCTTAAGCTGCTAAGCAACTTCAGCAGTATCAGGATACAAAATCAATGTGCAAAAATCACAAGCATTCCTATACTCCAATGATAGACAAGCAAAGAGTCAAATCATAAAGGAACTCCCAATTACTAAAAAGAGAATAAAAAATCTAGGAATACAGCTGACAGGGAAAGTTAAAGACCTCTTAAAAGAGAACTAGAAACCACTTCTCGAGGAAATTAGAGAAGACACAAACAAATGGAAAAACAGTCCATGCTCATAGATAGGAAGAATCAATATTGTGAAAATGGCTATACTGCCCAAGTAATTTATAGATTCAAAGCTATTCTCATTAAACTACCATTGACATTCTTCACAGAATTAGAAAAAAGTACTTTAAAGTTTATATTGAACCAAAAAGGAGTCCATGTAAGTGAAGACAATCCTAAGCAAAAAGAATCAACCTAGAGACACCACACTACTCAACTTCAAACTATACTACAAGACCACAGTAACCAAAACAGCATGGTACTGTTGCACCATGTACAGGTACAAAAAAGACACATAGACCAATGAAACAGAATACAGAACTCAGAAATAAGACCACACATCTACAACCTCTGATCTTCGAGAAACCTGACAAAAACAAGCAATGGGGAAAGGATTCCCTATTTAATAAATGGTGGTGGGAAAATTGGCTAGCCTTATGCAGAAAATAGAAACTGGACCCCTTCCTTATACCTTGTAAAAAATAAATCAAGGTGGATTAAAGACTTATATGTAAAACCCAAAACTATAAAAACCCTAGACAAAAATGTAGGCAATAGCATTTAGGACATAAGTACAAGCAAACATTTCATGAAAAAAACGTCAAAAGCAATTGCAACAAAAGCAAAAAATGGCAAATGGCATCTAATTAAACTAATGAGCTTCTACAGAGCAAAAGAAACTGCCATCAGAGTGAACAGACAACCTACAGAATGGGAGAAAGTTTTTGCAATGTATCCATCTGACAAAGGTCTAATATCCACAATCTGCAAAGACCTTAAACAAATTTACAAGAAGAAAACAAGCAACCCCATTAAAAAGTGGGCAAAGAACACGAACAAACACTTCTCAAAAGAAGACATTTATGTAGCCAACAAACGTATCAAAAAAGCTCAACATCTGTGATCATTAGAGAAATGCACATCAAAACTACAATGTGATACCATCTCACACCAGTCAGAATGGCAATCACTAAAAAGTCAAGAAACAAACAGATGCTGGCGAGTCTATGGAGAAATAGGAAGACTTTGACACTGTTGGTGGGAATGTAAATTATTTAAACCATTGTGGTAGACACCGTGGCAATTCCTCAAAGTCCTAGAACCAGAAATACCATTTGACCCAGCAACCCCATTACTGGGTATATTGTCAAAGGTATATGAATCATTCTGTTATAAAGATACATGCATGCATATCTTCATTGCAGCATTAATCCCAATAGAAAAGACATGGAATCAACCCAAATGCCCATCAGTGATAGACTGGATAATGAAAATGTGGTACATATTCACAATGGAATATTATGCAGCCATAAAGAGAAACAACATCATACTTTTTGCAGGGACATAGATGGAGCTGGAAGCCATAATTGTCAGCAAACTAACACAGGAACACAAAACCAAACACCACATGTTCTCACTTATAAGTGGAAGCTGAACAATGAGAACAGATGGACACAGTTAGGGGCATAACACACTCACACTGGGGCCTGTTGGAGGCGGAGGGAGGGAGAGCATCAGGATAAATAGCTAATGCATATGGAGCTTAATGCCTAGATGATGGGTCGATAGGTGCAGCAAACCACAATGGCACATGTTTCCCTATGTAAAAAACCTGCACGTCCTGCATATGTATCCCAGAACTTACAATAAAATAAAATTAAGTAAAAAAATTAAAAAATTGCAGGTGTTTTTATTCAATAATTGAGGAATGTTAATTTGCTGAGTGGGGTGAAAATGTGTTCTGATAGAGCAGGCAGTAGAATGAAAATTCAGAATATGACAAAAACAATTTCTTAATATTCCAATTGGAATTCAAGTGTTATAATGAATTGTGAAAATGAACAATATAATCAGAATATCATGCCTCTGTGAGATAAAGCTGTTCATTTAATAGAAAACAAGAAGCTTCTAAGTAACACATTCTAAGGCAACAACCATGTATAGGTCAAAAGTGCCAGAAGAAGACTAATATTTTATTGTTATTTAGAAATGCTTTAAAAAGGTTAGGTTGCATTTAAATATTTCATTTTAATTGGCTCTGAAAATATACATATTATATTATATAATAACGTAACAATTTATTTGGGGGTTGAAGTTTTATAGAAGAGATAAATAAGACAAAATACAAATATTTAAAATAAATGGTTAGTTTTTAAAGGTCTGAGATGTGGCAGAGCAAGTAAACTGCTGCACTAGGAAAATTCATAATGCTCTCGATGCCGCTTAAACTTTGTATCTCTTAAATCACAAACTTTCGGTTTCATAGATACATATAACTCATGGTTCATGTAGTGTAAATTACTATATTTAATTATCTCTAAAACACTATTGACTATAATATGCACCACTATTTTATGTACTGCTAAGAATAAGAAAGCATTGCCAATTATAATTGGAATCTCATTGACTGTAAATATATTCCTATTTCGGAGATAATAAAAGTATGAAAAACGTGTCTTGGAATCAATAAAATAAGGTATGTTTCAACTTCTTACTTTAATTTAAAGGAAATCAAAATTTCTGTTACTTAGCACTCTCAATTATTCACATTACTCTTTAAACTCTTCCAGCAATAGAAGAATCTTATGACTTCCACAGACTTACAGTAAAATATACAGTGATTAATATTTTACTTTAAATTCCTTTCTTTTTCTGACTATAAACTCAAATATCTCTATTTTTTCATTTCTATTCAGAAGACACTTTTGAAGTGTGGTCTAAGAAGAAGGAGAATAATTGTTCAATCTCACTCCTGACAGTGACTTCCTCTAAGGGCAAGTATGCTATGGCTCATCACTTAATCTTCATGTTGCAGATTCTCTCTGTAAGAATAAAACAATACATGTCATTATAGTCTATCCATTACTTTGAGAAGGAATAAACAATCTCTACTTATTTTTCTAATTATGATATTTATAATTCCAAAAATATGGCATTTAAGCAGGGTGAAATCCGTTTTAATGGTGAATTGTATCAGACCCTGAAGGTATCACAAAACAGAGGTTGAAAGTGTACAGCAACTGATTCCAGCATAAACATGTATTTGGCTATGTTTGAGCATACTCACCTTCCATCAAATTTCAATGTACCTCCATCTATGCAATACTTTTAAAGCTGAAAAATTATGCACCTATAAATGAAGCTGTCATTTTAAAAATTTAAGCACATAATGGCTATAAAACACTTTCTTTGGGAGGATTAAAAACTTCATCAATTTTCTCAGCTCTTTATTAATCAAATGTTTCTTATTTTTTGAAAAAATATTTCTGTGACCATGGCTCATATTGAGCAGAAGTAAGATTTCAAGATACCCAACAAATCAGTTCCCATTCTCCTTCTTGCTAAAAATAAAATTTTGAAAACATTATTTTTTCTAGACATTCCCTCACTACCTTCCATAATTTATCTAACTGTATCATTACCAGAAATCAATGATTCATTCTTTTGACAAGCCCATTTCATTTTTTACATAATTACTTTACCATATCATTATAAAAACTTACTTTTTATTTTTGAGACCGAGTCTCGCTCTGTCGCCCAGGCTGGAGTGCAGTGGTGCGATCTCACTGCAATCTCCACCTCCCTGGTTCCAAGAGATTCTCCTGCCTCAGCCTCCTGAGTAGCTGGGATCACAGGCTCCCACCACCACACCCGGCTAATTTTTTGTATTTTTAGTAGAGACAGGGTTTTACCTTGTTGGCTAGCCTGGTCTCGAACTCCTGACCTCAGGTGATCCGCCCTCTTCACCCTCCCAAAGTGCTGGGATTACAGGCGTGAGCCCCCATGCCCGGCCACTTTTTTTTTTCTTAATAGGTTGGCAACTTTATTTGAATAAAAGGCTTTCACATTTAAATCACATAGTCTTTTCCAGATTCAAAAATGTGTGAAATGCCCTGTGCAACTTCTGTCTTTTGGAGCACGAAAGCTTAAGATGGTTATAAAATATAAATATGTGTTTTATATATATAAGCAAAAGCATAAAACTGTATTCAAGGATAGTGTAAAAAGTTGATAGATACTAAAGAAAACATACAAAAATGAACCCTAGGTAGTAAAAACTTTGAAGAAGAAAAAAATTGCAGCATTTCCATCCATAAATTGTTCATTCACCAAAATTTTTTAGAGACTATTAAAGGGCTTCTGGTTCAATAAGCAGACTTGTGTTTAAGTCTTTTTATCCTAAATTAGAAATACAATAAAGAATAGAGTTTCTTCTGTACAAAAAAGGGAAGACAGTTTTACTAACAGATCAGATACATAAAAAAAAAAAAAAATTGAAAGAATTCCAGAGCGCCTTCATGATCAGTGGCAGATATGACAGAGATCAATAATAAAAAGTGGTGTTGAAATCTGGTGAATTGATTGAAACTGCATATGGAACAGCTGAGGCAGCCTATGACTCCATAGTTTTCTCTAAATGTGCAGAGAACTGTTAGCCTAGTTATCCCCAGGTAAAAAAGCATAGCATTTCTTTCTAAAAAAAATTGAACTATCTGGGGAAAACAAAAGCTTCATTTATGGGTGCTGAAAATTCAGAATAAAATTCTTCTCATTCTGGCTGGCATGCAAGTTTTGAGGGGAGAGGGAGTGTTGGTGAGGCCACAGCCTGACATCCAGCTTCCCACTTTCTTATAGTTAATTAAAATATAATACCTTATATACTATACTCATTAAATAAGCTACCAGTTTGATGTCATGCTCATATGAAAAATCAGACTTAAAAAAGAATAGAGGGAAACCATACCAGCTACCTAGAATTTTCTTCTAAATATAAACAGACAATCACAGATCACTAGGAATAAAAAACAAACCTTCTGCATGAAAATAAAAGTTGAAATAATTAAAAAGTATACTCAGGTGAAACAGAAAATGTAAGAAAACTTTAAGAAAAAAGTCCATATGGAGAGCATTTTGATAAGAATTTTAAATGTTGTTTAAAAATGTCAGAAATTAGAAAAATATTTTACCTCTTACAAATAGAATTTCCAGAATAAAACTTTAATAGAAAAGATTAAAAATAAGGTGGGAATCCCTTAAAATGTTAAGCATAAGGGCAAAGAGACAGAAAATATGAGAGAAAAGACTCATATATGATCACTGCATGAAGTCCAACATTTGATCAGTAAGAGTCATAGGACAGAGAAAAGGGAATACGTTCAAATAAAACAACATAAGATAATAAACCATATACCAAAAAAAAAAAAAAAACCTACTGCAGAGATGGAAAAATCTGAGCACAGAGCATATCAATTTTTTTATTAGTTTTTAAATTTTAAAAAAATTAATAATTTTTATTTTAAAATTTTACATTCAGGGAGTACATTTGCATGTTCCTTACATGGATATATTGCATAATGGTGGATATTGGGTTTCTAGCATACCAGTCACCAAAATAATGAACATTGTATTCAGTAGGTATGCTTTTAACACTCACCCCTCTCCTCCCCCATTTTGTAGTCCCCAGTATCTATCCCATTTTGTTTTAAATTGAGCTTATTTTGATCTTCCCTCTTCTTTTCTTGGTTAATCTTGCTAATGGTATAACAATTTTATTTATTTTTTCCAAGAACCATCTTTTTCTTTCATCTATCTTTTGTATTTGTTTGTTTGTTTCAATTTCATTTAGTTCTTCTCTGATCTTGGTGATTTCTTTTCTTCTGCTGGGTCTGGGTTTGGTTTGTTCTTGTTTCTCTATTCCTTGAGGTATGACCTTAGATTGTCTATTTGTGCTCTTTCAGCTTTTTTGATGTAGGCATTTAATGCTGTAAACTGCCCTTTTAGCACTGACTTCTATATCTCAGAGGTTTTTATAGGTTTTGTCACTATTATAATTCAGTTCAAATAATTTTTTAATTTCCCTCTTGATTCTATAGTTAACCCAAAGATCATTCAGGAACAGGTTATTTAATTTCCATGTATTTATGTTGTTTTGAAGATTCCTTTTGAAATTGATCTCCAATTTCATTCCACTGTGGTCTGAGAGAGTACTTAATATAATTTCATTTTTTAAAATTTATTGTGACTTGTTTTGTGGCCTACCACATGGTCTGTCTTGGAGAAAGTTCCATACACTTACTTGTAGAATGTGTATTCTTCGGTTGGTGGGTGAAATGTTCTGTACATATTTGTTAAGTCTATTTGTTCTAGAGAATAGTTTAAATCCATTGTTTTTTGTTAACTTTCTACCTTGATGACCTGTCTAATGCTGTTAGTGGGGTATTGAAGTCCTTCACTATTATTTTGTTGCTATCTAACTCATTTCTTATGTCTGGTAGTAATTGTTTATAAATTTGGGATCTCCAGTGTTAGGTGCATATACATTTAGGATTGTAATATTTTCCTGTTGGACAAGGCCTTTTATCATTAAACAATGTCCCTCTTTTTTTTGTAAATGTGGTTTCTTTAAAGTTTTTCTGTCTGATATAAGAATAGCTACTCTTGCTCACTTTTCGTGTCCATTTGCATGGAATGTCTTTTTCCACCCCTTTATGTTAAATTTATTTGTGTCCTTATGTGTTAGTGAATCTCTTGAAAGCAGAAGATACTTTGTTGGTGAATTCTTATCTATTCTGCCATTCTGTATCTTTTAAGTGGAGCATTTAGGCCATTTACATTCAAAGGCAGTATTGAGATGTTAGGTACTATTCCATTCATCATGCTATTTGTTGCCCGAATACCTTGGGTTTTTAAAAATTTATTTATTGTATTTTTATTTTATAGATATTGTGAGATTAATGCCTTAAGGAGGTTCTGTTTTAATGTGTTTTTAGAATTTGTTTCAAGATTTAGATCTCCTCTTAGCAGTTCTTGCAGTGCTGGCTTGTTAGGGGCGAATTCTTTCAGCATTTGTTTGTCTAAAACAAACTGTGTCTTTCCTTCATTTATCAAGTTAGTTTCACTGGATACAAAATTCTTGGCTGATAATTGTTTTGTTTAAGGAGGTTGAAGATAGGACCCCAATCCCTTCTAGCTTGTAGGGTTTCTGCTGAGGAATCTGCTGTTAATCTGATAGGTTTTTCTTCATAGGTTACCTGGTGCTTTTGTTTTACACTCTTAAGATTCTTTCCTTCATCCTGACTTTAGATAACCTGATGATGTACCTAGATGATAACCTTTTTGCAATAAATTTTTCAGGTGTTCTTTGAGCTTCTTGTATTTGGATGTCTAGATCTCTAGCAAGGCCAGGGAAGATTTCCTCAATAATTCCCCCAAATACATTTTCCAAACTTCTATATTTCTCTTCTTCTTCAGGAACACCAATTATTCTTATGTTTGGCCATTTAACATAATCCCAAATTTCTTGGAGCCTTTGGCTACAAAAGGTATTAAATAACCACACAACAGTAGTGGGAGACTTTAATGTCCCACTGACAGTGTTAAACAAATCACCAAGGCATAAAACTACCAAAGGAACTTTAGATTCAAATAGGAAAGTAGATAAATTGAACCTAATAGAAATATACAGAACACACCACCCAACAACCATAGAATATATTTTCTTCTCATCTGCACATGGAACATATTCTAAGACTAACCTCATGCTCTGTCATAAAGCAAACTTCAATAAATTTAAAAAAAACTGAAATTATACCAAGTATACTCTTGAACCACTGTGCAATAAAAATGGAAATCAATATCAATAAGATCTCTCAAAACTACATAAGTACATAGAAATTAAACTACTTACTCCTCAAAAACTCCTCGGTGAACAAAATTCATTAAGAAATAAAAAATATTCTATAAAATTAATGCAAATAGGGACACAATTGACTGAAATCTCTGGGATGTAGCCAAAGCAGTGTTAAGACAAAAGTTTACAGACTAAACACTTTCCTCAAGTAGTTAGAAAAGTTTCAAATTACCAGTGTAAGTTTGTACCTAAAGGAATTAGGAAAAAAAAAGTACAAACCAACCCAAAGGTAGTAGAAAAAGACACATTAAAATTAGAGAAAAACTGAATGAAATAGAGATGCCAAAATTCATACGAAAGATCATTGAAACCAATAGTTGGTTATTTAGAGAAATAAACAAGATTATAGACCCATAACAAGATTAAAAAAGAAAAAGAAAGATAAGATACAAAGCACAATCAGCATTGACAAAGGTAATATTACAACTGACTTCACAGAAATACAAAAGATCCTCAGAGACTGCTAGGAACAATTCTATGCACACAAATTGGAAAATCTAGAAGAGATGTATACATTTCTAGAACCACACACACTGCCAAGATTTTTTCAGGAAGAGATTAAAACCCTGAACAGAACAATGTAAACTTCTGAAATGCAAGCAATAATAAAGAACCTGTTAACCAAAAAAAAAAAAAAAAAAAAAAACCCTGAACCAGATAGATTCACAGCTAAATTCTAACAGTAGAACAAAGAAAAATAGACACAAAACCTAGTGAAATAATTCCAAAACAAAATGAGGAGTAGGGGCTTTTCCTTAACTAATTCTGTGAAGCCAGCATTATCCTGATACCAAAATATGACAGAGCCACTAAAATAAACTAAAGAACAAAACAAAACAACAAAAAAAACTTCAGACCAATATCTGTCATTAACATAAATGCAAAAATATTTAAGAAAATACCAGCAAATGGAATACAGTAACCCATCAAAAAGTTTACATACCACAGGCAAGTAAGCTTTATTCTTGGAATGCAAGGCTAGTTCAATCTATGCAAATCAATAAACGTGATTCACCACATAAACAAAATTAAATATAAAAACCATATGATTATTTCAAAAGACAAAGAAACTTCTTTTGATAAAATTCAAAATCAATTCATGATAAAAACTCTCAACATATTAGGCATCAAAGGAACATATCTCAAAATAATGAGAGCCATCTATGACAAATACACAATTAACATCACATTGAATGGGCAAAAACTTGAACAATTTCCCTTAAGAACTGAAACAAGATAAGGATACTCACTTTTGCCACACCTATTCAACATAATACTAAAAGTCCTAGCCAGAACAATCAGGCAAGATAAATAAATGAAAGACATCCAAACTGGAAAATATGAAGTTAAACTATTTATCTGCAGATGATATAATTATATACCTAGAAAATCCTAAAGACTCTGCCAAAATATTCCCAAAATTGATAATTGACTTTAGTAAAATTTCAGGACACAAAATCAATGTACAAATCTAATTATTATTTTTGTACACCAAAAACATCCAGGCTGAGAGTGAAATCAAGAACACAATCTCACCTATGAAAGTGACAAAGAAAATTAAATGCCTAGTAATATAGCAAACTAAGGAAGTTAAAGATCTCTACAAGGGAGCTACAAAACCCTGCTGAAAAAATCAAAGATGATACAACTAAATAGAGAAACATTCCATCCTTGTAGATTGAAGAATCAATATTATAAAAAATTGTCATATGGACCAAAGCAATTTACAGATTCAATGTTATTCCTATAAAACTACCAATGTCCTTCTTTAAGGAATTAGAGAAAACTGTTCTAAAATGCATATGAAACAAAAAACCCAAATAGACAAAAGAATCCTAAGTGAATGAATAAAGTCAGAGGCATCACATTACCTAACTTTAAGTATTTTATAAAACCACAGTAACGAAAACAGCTTGATACTGGTATGAAAGCAGACACATAAATGAATGGAAAAAAAAAAAGATAGAAACCTCAAAAATAAAGTTGCACACTTACAACCATCTGATCTTTGACAAGGCCAACAAAGATAAGTAATATCGAAATAACTCCCCATTCAACAAATGGTGCTGGGATAACAGGTTAGGAGATTGAAGCTCGACCCCTACTTTTATCATATACAAAATTTAACTCAATATGGAATAAAACTTTAAATGTAATACTTCCAAATATAAAAATCCTTAAAGACAAACTAGGAAATACTCTTGTCGACATCAGCCTTGGCAAATAATTTTTGGCTGTCCCCAAAAGCAATTGCAACAAGAATAAAAATAGACTAGGACTTAATTAAACTAAACAGCTTCTGCATAGCAAAAGAAACAACAGAGAAAACAGACAACCTACAGAATAAGAGAATATATTTATAAACTATGCATTTTACAAAGGCCTCACATCCATAATCTGCAGAGAACTTAAACAAATCAACAAGCAAAAACCAAATAACGACATTTAAAAATGGGCAAAAAACATGAGCAGACATTTTTCAATAGAAGACATGCAAGTGGCCAACAAACATATAAAAAAAGTTCAGCATCACTAATCATGATAGAAATGCAAGTCAAAACGACAATGAGATATTATCTGACACCAGTTAAAATAGCTATTACTAAAATGTTAAAAATCAACAGATACTGCCAAGGTTGTGAAGAAAATGGAATGCTTATACAGTATTGGTGAAAATGCAAATTAGTCCAGCCACTTTGGAAAGCAATTTGGATATTTCTCCCCAAAATTAAAACAGAGCAACCATTTGATCCAGCAATCCCATTACTGAGTATATTTCCAAAAGAAAATAAATCTTTCTACCAAAATGACACATGCACTGATATGTTTATCACTACACTATTCAGAATAGCAAAGACATGGAATCAATCCAGGTGTTCCTCAATGGTAGGTAAGATAGATAAAACTTGGTACATATAAACTGTGAAATACTATTCAGCCATAAAAATAGTGAAATCATGTTATTTGCAAGAACATGGATGGAGCTGGAAGCTATAACGCTAAGCAAAGTGATGTATGAACAGAAAACCAAAAACCCCATGTCCTCACTTATAAATGGGAACTAAGCTTTGAGCACACATGAACATAAATGTAGGAACAATTAACACTGTAGACCATCTGGGGAAAACAAAGGCTTCATTTATGGGTGTTGAAAACTCAGAATAAAATTCTTCTCTTTCTGGCTGGCATGCAAGTTTTGAGGAGAGAGGGAGAGTTGGTGAGGCCACAGCCTGACATCCAGCTTCCAACTTTCTCATAGTTAATTAAAATATAAGACCTTAAATACTATACAGAAATACTAGTAGAAAGTGGAGGGAGAAGGAGTGGGTTAAAAAATTACCAATTGGATGCTATGGCCTTAAGAGGGTGACAGGATCCATAATACAAATCTCTGCATAATTCAATATTCCTAAGTAACAAATCTGCACATGTACACCCTGTATCTAAAGTAAAAGTTGAAACAGAAACAAAAAGCACTTTGATAATTGCCAAAATGGAAGTTTGTATGTGGGATAGTAGCACTATAACTCAAAGCCACAGAGAAAAGGGAATACTTATACACTGTGAAACCTCGTATCTACTAAAAATACAAAAATTAGCCTAGTGTGGTGGTGGCCACCTGTAGTCTCAGCTACTCGGGAGGCTGAGGCAGGAGAATTGCTTGAACCCAGGAGGCGGAGGTTGCAGTGAGCCGAGATCATGCAGCTGCACTCCAGCCTGGGTGACAGAGTGAGACTCTGTCTCAAAACAAACAAATGAAAAAAAAAAAAAAGTAACAGAGAATAATGGCAACAAATGAAAATCAGTAACATATATGGTACTAATATGTATCTTTAGTTGGTTAATACACAACTATAGCAATGACCACTATGAATTTCAGTGGTCAAAAGGCACCAATTAAAAGATAGAGATTTTTAGAGTGGATCAAAAATAAGTCCAGACTATATGTTTTCTATGAGAAGCCCACATTAAATATAAAGACCCATAGAGAAAATGAATGGATGGAGAAAAATGTGCTATGCTAACACTAATCAAAGAATGGAGAAAAATACACTATGCTAACACTAATCAAAGGAAAGTAGGAGTAGCTACATTAATTTCCAACAGAGTATTTCCTTCAAATGAAGGAAAATTATTAGGGATAAAGAAGGGCACTGTATAATAAAGGTGTCAACTTTCCAAGGAGAAATAACAATTGTTAACATATATACACCTCACAACAGAATGTCAAGTTAAGTGAGGCAAAAACTATTAGAACTGCAAGGAGAAATGGATAAATTCACTAAGATAGTTGGAGATTTCAACAAATCTCTATCAGAAATGAACAGATCCAGCAGGCACAAAATGATTAGAAACATAGTTGAACTCACAATACCATCATTCAACTGGAAATAATAGACATCTATAAACTACTTTATTTTAAAACAGAACACAATATTCTCAAGCTCACATGGAACATTCATCAAGATAGGGTACATTCTGGCCATAAAAGATATCTTAATACATTTAAAATATTATTTAAAATAATAGAAACCATACAATGGTTACTACAATAATAGTAAGAGCAGACAGAGATGTAATTGAAAAGAAGTCAATAAAACGACAGACCAATGCCTCTCATAAACACACGTGCAAAAATTCTCTACAAAATACTAGCAAATTGAATCTAACTATATATAAAAATAGAAGTATGTACCACAATCAAGTGGGATTTATTTTCAGTTTAGCAAGGCTGGTTCAACACCTGAAAATCAATTAATGTAATCTATCATATCAACAGGCTAAAAAATAAAATCACATGGAAATACATATAGATTCAGAAAATGCATTTGACAAAATCCAACAACCATTCATGATAAAAAAAAATTTGGTAAACTCAGAATAGAGGATAATTTTATCAATTTGATAAAGAATGTCTCAAAAATTTCCACAGATAACATCATATTAATGATGATAAACTGGAAGCTTTCCCACTAATATCAAGAACAAGGCAAGATGTCTCATCTTACCACCCCTTTTCATTGTTTTTCTGAAAGTTCTTGATAATGCAATAAAACAAGTAAAGGAAATAAAATGTATATGGATTGAGAAGAAAGAAATAAAACTGTCTTTGTTAACAGATAATATAATCATCTATGTAGAAAATCTGAAACAATTGACCAAAAAAAATTAGGACTAATAATCAATTATAGCAAGGTTTCACAATAAAGGGTTAATGTACAAAAGTCAGTCGCTTTCTTATATGCTAGTAATGAACAAGTAGAATCTGAAAGTAAAATCATAGTGTCATTTATATTCACAGCCAAAATAACAAACTCTTAGGTGTACATTTAAAACTATATGGAAGATCTATATGAGAAAAATCTTTAAAAACTCATTTGAATGAAATCAAAGAACTCAATAAATGGAGAGATACTTCATGTTTTTGGATAGAAAGGCTCAATGTTGTCAAAATGTCACTTATTCCCAACTTGAATTGGGATTCAATGCAATCCTAATCAAAATCTTAGCAAGTTATTTCGTGGGTATCAACAAACTTATTTTAAAGTGTATACGATGAGGCAAAGGACTCAGTAATAGTTGACAAAATATTGAAGGAAAATAACAAATTTGTAAGACTGACACTACCTCATTTCAAGACTCATTGTAAAGATACAATAATCAAGACAATATGGTATTGGGCAAAGAACAGAGAAATAGATCAATGGCAAAGAAGATAAAGCCCATAAATATAGTCAACTGAACTATGGCAAAGGAGCCAATGCAATACAGTAGAGCAAGGGCTGTCTTTCAACAAATGAGTCTGGAACAACTAGATAGCCACATGAAAAATTGAACTCAAAATGAATCATAGACTCAAAAGTAAAATGCAAAACTATGAAACTCCTAGAAGATAACATAGAAGAAACCTATTTGACCTTGGGTATGGTGATGACTTTTCATATACAACACTAAAGGCACAATCCAAAAAAGAAAGAATTAGTAAACTCTTGGAATCATTACAATTTAAAACTTCTGCTCTATGATAGACAATGTCAAGAGAATGAGAAGTCAAACTACATACTGAGAGAAGATATTTGCAAATGACATATCTGATTAAGGACTGTTTTCCAAACTATGCAAAGAACTCTTAGAACTCAAAAATAAGAAAAACAAACAACCTGACTGAAAAACAAGCTGGACTTTGACAGTTCACCAGATAACATATACAGATGGCAACAAGCATATGAAATCATGTTCCAAATCATATGACATTAAGGAAATAAAAATTATAAAAACAATGAGATACCATTACATACCTATCAATGTGACCAAAATCTGAAACACTGACAATATAAAATACTAGTGAGGATGTGAAACAACAGGAACTGTCATTTGTTACTGTTCGGAATAAAAAATGTTACAGCCCTATTGGTGGACAATTTTTTATAAAACTAAACATATTCTTACCATACTATCCAGCAATTATGCTCATTGGTATTGATCTCAATGAGTTGCAAACGTATGTCCACAAAAAGTCTTGCACAAGGATGTTTATAACAGCTTTATTCATGGCTGCCAAAAGATTGAAGAAATGAGGATGTCCTTCAGGAGGTGACCGAATAAAGTGTGGTACATCAAGACACAGAATATTATTATTACTAAAAAGAAATGAGCTATCAAACCATAAAAATAAATAGAGTAATTCTTAAATGCACATTGCTAAGTGAAAGAAGCCAATATTAGAAGGCTACATACTATCTGATTCCAACTACATGACGTTTTAGAAGAGGCAAAACTATGAAGACAGTAAAAAAATTAGTGCTTTAGTGGTTTTGGATAAAGAAGAATGAATGAACAGAGCACAGAAGATTTTTAGGGGAGTGAAAATCTGTATGATCCTATAAAGAGGGATACATGTCATTATATAATTTTCCAAATCTGTAAAATGTATAATACCAAGAGTGAAGTCTAAGGTAAACTATGAACTTTGGGTATTTACAATGTGTCAATGTAGCTTCATCAGTTGTAACAAATGTACCACTCTGGCGGGGGATATTGATAATGGGGGAGGCTTTGCATGTTTGAAAGAAGGGGTACATGAGAAATATCTCTACCTTCTTCTCAGTTTTCCAGCAAACCTAAAACTGCTTTAAAAACATCTTAAAAGATAAAAAAGAGGAGGAAGTGATTTATAATGAAGGAGGAAAATGAGGGAGAATCAGGAAAGATTTCCTAGATCAGTGAATTGAACCATAAAAGAGATTAAATGGAAGAAATGGCAGGGTAGGGTAATAGGAACAATTCACTGTAAGGTTGTAAGGTAACGTTATGAAGAAATGCACCTACAGAGTATACTTAAATAGTTAGTGGCAACTTGTGGCTGGAATGGAGAATGTACTGCAATGAGATGGAGTAGTGTGAATGACAGCAGCAGCAAGTGTTGCAGAGAGCCCAGTGAGAGTGAAAACATTTTAAAAAATGATTAAATATTGTGTGTAAGGAATCATCAGAGACCTTACAGAAAACACCTTCAGTAGTGTGGGAGGTTATGGACGTGAAGCCAGTAGTGTGGGAGGTTATGGATGTGAAGCCAAAGGTATAATGCAGTGCAGGTTTCTCTCCTAAGATGTGTTGCAATGGAAGGAAGAGGGGAAGTGCATAACTTTAGCATCCACTAGTGTTAAGAAGATTACTTTAAAACATTTTTAAGATGAAATAACAGGAGCATACTTGTAGCACAAGGAAGGGACTGATAAGGAGAGAGTAATTAAAAGTGCAAGAGAAGAGGATAATTGCCAGATAAATGTTTCTGAAGAGACAGGAATGAGTCCAAATAAGTGGTTCTGCACACATTATCCAGTAGGATCTCACTTCATAATTTCCTTAGTAGGGATTCTCTCTTTACCAAATTATGCACAGTTTACCAGAAAGTTAAAATTATAGGGTAATTTCAATGTCTATTTTTATATTGCCTTTCCTTAATTTTAGGATTCTTACATTTTAAGATGTCTTATTTATTTGTCATTGTATTAGGTGTGCCTGGAGAAATTAAGTTAACCCATCATGTAAATTATATGTTCATATATAGTACACACTAAAATACAAATAGATAATTTCCACAGTAGTAAATGTTTGTTTCCTTGTTACTAGAAGCTCAAAGAGCATTGACTGGCGTACAGGCAAACTGCTGACTGCAACTGTTGCACATTTTCTAAGATAGAGAACATTAGCAAAGTTAGCATAGACATCGTGTTTAGCTAATAAATGAAGAAATCATACAAGTATTTCAAAATAATAATTGGTGTCCGCCACAGAGCCCATAACATCACCAAGATTTATGCTTGCTATTCTCTGATCCTTCTGCTGTGCATGCTGTGACTTAGGAATTATTTGTATGTGGGTAATGACAACATTTAGCCTCTCACACAGAAGCTCAGTAATTGTGCTAATGGTAGTGATGAGTCCATCCCTCTAAATTCAGAAGTTGAAGACTATGTTGCAAGAAATGCTAAAAGGTGGGCGACAGAGCGAGACTCCGTCTCAAAAAAAAAAAAAAAAAAAAAATGCTAAAAGGTTAAACATGTCAAAGAGTTTATCAAGTACTGATCAAAATCCCATACTTACAAAAATTAGCAAAACAACCCTCAAATTTGGGCAGATGTAACCTTTAAATATGAAGTGTTATTTGTATAGTTTGTACCAATTTGCACTAACAGATATTCACTCCACCACCTCTAGCTTTATTCCTGTAGCTAAATATCTTTTCTAGTTTTTTCCATTGGATATTTATTGCATCTTGAAAAATCTGGCATTTTCAAGCTTGTGTGTTCTTCTGCAAGCTCCTGATTTTAACGTATAGCTTTTCTTTTCTTTCTTCATTCATATAAACAAATCTTGTATTTATTTTAGAAATCTTCATGACCCTTCCAAAAGAAAATTACTTCATTTCATAGTATAAACTGAAAAGCTAGCTTTTATCTTACTGCTTTATTTGTATTATCACAGGAAGTCACACGGTTTTTCCATTCTTGCAGTAAACTATCGTGGATAATTGATCCTCACACAGTACAGAGAAAGGCTGCAGGCTAAATTCTGTCCAAAGATACAACTCTAAAATTATCTGGGAAGAAAGGAAATACATAGACAGATAAAGAGAAAGATGAGAGAGAGAGAGCACCAAAAAGTGAGTTCATCTCTATTAAGTGAACATTACTTTGTTATTGGCTTCAATCTGATCGTGGTTGTCATTTCTTTTACCAGTTTGTTTAAGGAGACATGCATCATTCTAGTTTTAGGCAGTAAAAGGTGACATTGTAGATATAAATAGTATTAGATTTTGTTGAGGTACTGAATATATTTGAAAAATTTTTGAAAAGCTGTTAAATATTTTGAAATATAAGGCATCAGTCAGCAGTTTTTTTAACTTCCCAGATAATAAACCTTTTCAGCCTTGCAGGCCATATAGGCTCTGTTGCAATTTCTCAACTTTTCATATTGGGAAAGCAGCTATAGATAATACATAATTGGATCAGCATGGCTGTGTTCCAGTGAAATTGTATTTACAAAAGTAGGCATATTACTCAGACAGTAGTTTACCAATCCCTGAAGATATCATTATGATTTATCATCAGTTAGTTTCACATCATTCCATTGTACTAGCATTCTTCCATTAAATCCAAATTCTGTTATCTGTTATTTTTCTGTGTGTCTGTTAAATGAAGAGTTTTAATCTAGAATAGATTCATGAAAATATCCAAGAAAATATGGTTATTAAGGAAATAATTACTTAGCACTTATGAGGTTTTTGAAAAATTGTTGCAAGGCATTGTTTCCTGTAAACATATGCAGAACTTCATTGAAATGACTCTTTATAGCTTATTTTAAATGTATTGTTTGGTTTTGTTTCTATCTAGCACATAGTTATAATATCTAGTGTCTCTATGGGTCTATAACTAGTACCCAGGGCAATAAGAAAGTAATTGTAAAAGAACAAAATGAAGAAGCAAAAAAAAAAGAAAAATAAAATGAGTGAAATAATTAGACAATTTACCTACAAAATAAATAAGTACAAGTGGCGTATATGCACAGCATCACTTATAATCCCGAAAATGGAAGGTAAACAGAAAATTTTTTATCATATTGACAAAAACAGAAAAAAGATCAGTCTTCTGATTCTTGGTGAGGATGTGAGGAAATGGGAATCTCCTAACAGATTTACAGGACAATTCAGCTGTATCTATGGCTATCATAAATGTTTACACCTTTGAACTCAGCACTTCCCACTACTTGGAATTTATGCAAGTCAGCAAAATATTAAATGTCCCATTATTTAAAATACTAAACATTTGGAAACAAGTCAAATGCTTATCCTTAGAAGCATGGTAAAAGTAAATTGCAGAACAGTATATAGAACATAATTCCATTTTTATTAAAAAATAACTAGTTAAAATGAATATAGTGAAGTTGAAGACAATGATAAATTGTGCAGGTTGAGTAAGTTTAAATTTCCTTAACCTCAGTTTCAACCTCTACAAAATTCTAGCTAAAAAAATGATATGACTATATACAAATAAATTCCTGAAAATAAAAAGCATGATTATGAAGTGATTCTGAATTAGAATTATTCAAACAGCCTATTTAGAGTTGTATATATAAGTGAAATTAATTAAACTAAGGGTAAGAAGATAGAGTACTTTTAAACTCACAAACTTTTTTTATGTTTTCTTTGACAAGAATTTGGAATCATCAGAAATATTTGAAGAAGAATCAAATACCACCTTTGATTAACTGGTATCTGTAGTATTTGAAGTGGTTTGCATGAGAGTGTTAATATAAGTGGGGAAACTTTTGAAAAGAGGTTATAGTTGTCAATGGAACTTAACCTGAACAAAAGCTTTGGTAAGGGCCTTGGGAAAATTAGAATATTATTGATGATGGCGTCAGTATAGAATGAGCTATGTATACTTACTAAGAAGCCTTTAGGTATATTATCAGTATGAATGTGATTGATTGCAAGAAAGAAAATATCAAATTAGAATGATTCAAATGATGAGAACATGTATTGTCTTACCCGCAGGCCGTGCATTTTCAGGGTTAGTTTATTCAGTTTCACACATATTAGGGCTTTTGGTCTGCTTCTTGTGGTCACAAGATGGCTGCTACAGTTAAATGAAGTATCCCAGACAACGGGCCCCTTCTGTCTCCTTGGCCAGGATTGCATCACATGCTATTGCCTAGACCAAATGTTGATCAAAGAAATAGTAATGTCATGATTGTTTTAGACTTTTCAGTGTTCACCCCAGGAGAAAGGGAAGGGAAGAGAAGGTGCATGAGAGGGTGGATTTAAACACAAAATCAGTTACCAAGCAAAGAGGTGAAGACAATATGACGGTAAAGAAATCATCTGTATGGCAAACAACCAATGGCATCTGTCACAGCTGTCAATGGTTTCTATTCAGTAGATGGAAGATAAAGTCTAGGGATTAGATACCAAGGAAATTTATTCACTCAGATTTTTTATTCCCTTATTTAATGCATGATTTTTTCCATTTAGATAAATATTTTTTAAATGTAAAACAGTTAGTAAAATTAGGGCGCAGTGAAAAGCGTGCATATCATGTAGAGCAATAAACTGGGACTCAGCAGACTGAGATTTTATTATTTTACTTTGGTAGTTAATTTCTATTCGAAATATGATGTGTCTTTTTCCAAAAAAACTGTAAAAAAGGTAAAATACAACAAACTACCTATATCCTACTTTGCAGAACATAATATAGAATTTAAATAGGTAGAACGTCTGTAAGCTTTAAACTGCTTGGAGGAAGATACTATGTGAATAAAATATCTCTGAACTTTTTAAAAGGAGAAATATTAGATAATTCTTGAAAAATTATCTTGGAGGATGTATGCTAGAAATTTTCCTAAGAACATACTAATAGTATTGGATATAATACGCATAAAATTCCTGTTTGTTAAAAAATTATGTTGGGAATAATTAACATAAAATAATACGTATTCCATATGCTGTATTTGCATGTAATATTTAATGAAAACTATTATAACATGCAAGTCATTTTTGCTTATTTTGTAAATAATGAATCAATGTTTTAAACTATTCATCTTTTTCAGAAAATCACTTAAAAATAAATTCGATGTCAAATTAAAGCATAATCATGAGAATAATGTTTATTTTACTTTGACTACTTTCATATATTTCCTTCTTCAAAATAAAAAGAAAATTAAAATTGTTTTTGTGAAAATAATGTGTTCATTAAGAACTTAAACACTTCAAAAAAAAGTTTACAAAAAAGGAAAAGAATCATCAATCCAAATTCTATTCACCAGAAATAACAATTCAAGAGCAGTCAAAATTTAGACCATAATTTGATATCTGTCTTTTACAAATATTTGCTAACAGATACGGTATTAATTTAACATCCCTCAAAGCCATCCCCAATCTCATTAGGTTATTCAGAATATAGCAAAAAAATCTATAAGATTTTAGAAGGATAGATCATTTCATTAGTTGCAATATAAATATAGACTCACTTTTATTTAATTAAACCAGTTTAATTTTTTATTACCAAACTAGAAAATATTGATTAGCTGAGAAATCTTTACATTGCTTAAACTGGAGGAGTCCAACCTCTTTCTTAATTTGATTTCAAATAAAAACTCCTCAGTATTATATTGCCGTGCCTTTTTTTTTTTCATCTATATTTATAAACCCTCTGTGGTACAGATTCAAAAGAGGTTTGACTTGGCGATAGCTTCGGCTAAAGCCAAAGATTTTCAGTAGGACAATTGTTCTAATATATTAATGCTTTTAAAATAAGTAACCTATGGAATTGTGAAAAATGGAGATTCTCTAGGCACACCTTTGTGGTTTTAATATGGTACATCTGGGAAGGATCTTAGGAGTCTGAATATTTAATAAGCACTCCATGTAATTCTGATTCATGTGGCAGATGGGCCAAACTTTAGAAACACTATCCTAAATCCATTGTCACTAGTTTCTCCTAAAAAAAAATAGTAAAGTCTTTGCTCTACTAATATTTTTTCTTTGTTTGTAAGGCACACAAGGTGTATTTAAGATCATGTAAAATTTTCTTATACTTAGAAAACCATAGTAATTTTATTACTGAATGTTTTAGAAGGCATGACAAAAACAGAGAATGTTTAAATATGGTCATGTAATTTGTAATGTTCTAATTTGGTTGTGGCCATTATATGGGAAAATCAATTATTTTAAAATAAGAAATACCATTATTCTTAAAAATCTATTGAGATTCATCATATAGAAATTTAGAGAAATTCTACTTTTAGTTCTAGAAATATTATGATTTTTTAAATAATAAATATATGTTTCCTGAGCTATCTCTTTTTTCTCATTACAAGTGTTGCAAGGGGCTACACCTTGACCTAACGTCTTTACGTGGGTACTTGCGCTTACTTTGTAGCCTTCATCAGGGTTTGCTTCTATTACTTAAGGCCTTCTATTACTTAAGGCATGCCATCTTACTGGTAAACTTCTACATTGATCTTCTATTCGTTGTTAAAAAAACATAAAATATTAGTCAATCATCACTTGCTCTATTCTTATCCATTTCTAGGACATGCATCCACCACGGCTGTTTCAGGCATTTCTATTTAAAGTGCTGTGAATGTCTCCTGAACTCTTACCATTGGTTCCTTTAGAATATATACTTCTTTGTGTTGAATGCGGCTGATGATGGTTATAAAATGAGTGCCTTCTCTCATGTCTGTCTTTGTTTTTTTTTTTTTTTAGACTTTTTTGTCTTTAGAAATGTGAATCTATTAGTTACTTCCCCATTACTCTGAAGGATGCTAGTATCAGAATTGGTACTCATTTCTAATCGTCTGATTCTCCTAAGGCCAACTCAATTCACATGTTAACCACTTTATATTTCTTTATTGTGCTTAGTGAAAGAAAGCTTATCAAAACTAAAACAAAAGAAAGAATCGTATACTTATTAGTATAAGGTTTCATCTATTTTCTTTATTCAAAAGAAAAAATTAAAAACCTAAACAATTTCTCCATGATTCTAACATTTTCTCTAAAAATTATAACATTACTCTTCACAGAATTCCACCATACACTTGTTTACAAAGATTACCAAACATTTTCCCTGCTTAGCTAATAACTCCAGAAGATTTATCTTTTTCACTATGCTTTTTTTGTTTGATCACGGAAGAGTTTATGACTGTCCTTCATAATGAGAGCATAACATATCTCAGTGTCAAATGCACTTAATTTTATCTTGTATGTAATATAAACAATTCACTATCTGTAGCACTTTAGGTGAACGCTGGATTAGTTGAAATAGCAGCACATATACTACAACTATTATTTACCCATTTATTTTGCCACCTATATGGCAAGAGTTTTTAGGAAAGATTGTTACAGAATATAGAAGACAGAATATGTGTGTGTGTGTGTGTGTGTGTGAGAGTGTGTGTGTATTCTCTTATAATATATACCCATATTTTCTTATTATTAAGCTTATACATATCAAGACAAATTCCCTTAGTCCCTGGAATTCCTAATATGGGATATACCCAGTAAGAAGAGTGAGAAGGCAAGGCAGCATGGATTAAGTAGGACACCAATATTCACAAAGTGAGGAAAAGAGAATGTGCCAATGAAAAAAAATGGAAAAGAAATATTCAAAGAAGTAAAAATCTAAGATAACGACATAGAAGCTAAAAGAGAAAATAGTTTCAAAAAGATGAAGTGGTATATTAGTCTGTTCTCATGCTGCAATAAAGAACTGCTTGAGATTGGGTAATTTATAAGGAAAGAGGTTTAATTGACTCACAGTTCTGCACAGCTGGGGAAGCCTCAGGAAACCTACAATCATGGCAGAAGGGGGGAGCAAAAACAGCCTTCTTCAAATGACGGTGGGAAGGAGAAGTGCTAAGCAAAGGTGGAAAAATCCCATATAAAACCATCAGATTTTGTAAGAACTCACTATCATGAGAACAGCAGCATGGGGGTAACCACCACCATGACTCAATTACCTCCCACCAAGTTTCTCCCATAACACGTGGGGATTATGGAAACTACAATTCAAGATGATATTTGGGTGGAGACGCAGACAAACCATATTATTTCATCCCTGGCCCCTCCCAATCTCGTGTTCTTGCAATTTAAAACACAAACATGCTTTTCCAACAGTCCTCCAAAGTCTTAACTCATTCCAGCATTCACCCAAACGTCCAAGTCCCGAGTTTCATCTGAGACAAGGCAAGTCCCTTCCACCTATGAGCCTGCAAAATCAAAAGCAAGTTTGTTACTTCCTAGATACAATTCAGGTACAGCATTGGTAAAATGCACTTTCTCCAAGTGGGAGAAATTGGCCAAAACAAAGGGGTCACAGGCCCCATGCATGTTTGAAATTCATTAGGGTAGTCATTAAACCCTAAAGCTACAAAATGATATTTTTTTACTTCATGTCTCACATCCAGTTCATGCTGATGCAAGAGGTGGGCTCCCACTGCCTTGGGCAGCTTCACCCCTGTGGCTTTTCAGGATACAGCCCCCTTCCTAGCTGCTTTCATGGTCTGGTGTTGAGTGCCTGCAGCTTTTTCAGGTGCACAGTGCAAGCTGTCAGTGGGTCTACCATTCTGGGGTCTGGAGGATGGTGGACCCCTTCTCACAGCTCCACTAGGCAGTGCCCCAGTGGGGACTCTGTGTGGGGGCTCCAACCCTACATTTTTCTTCCTCACTGTCCTAGAAGAGATTCACCATGAGGGCTCTGCCCCTGCAGCAAACTTCTGCCTGGACAGTCAGGCATTTTCATACATCCTCTGAAATCTAGGCAGAGGTTGCCAAACCTCAATTCTTGTCTTCTGCACACCTGCAGGATCAACACCATGTGGAAGCTGCCAAGGCTTGGGGCTGAAGCAATGGCCCGAGCTATACCTTGGCCCCCTTTAGCCATGGCTGGAGCTGAAGCATCTGGGATGCACAGCACCATGTCCCTAGGCTACGCAAAGCAGGAGGGTCCTGGGCTAGGTCCAGGAAAGCATTTTTACCTTTTAGACCTTCAGGCTTGTGATGGGAGGGGCTGCCATGAAGGTCTCTGAAATGCTCTGGAAACATTTTTTCCATTGTCTTGCTAGTTAACATTTGACTCTCTGTTATTAATGCAATTTTCTTCAGTGGGATTGAATTTATCCCCAGAAAATGTTTTTATTTTCTGTCATATTGAGAGGTGACAATGTGCTAGCAGCCCTCACTCTCGGCACCTCCTCGGCCTCGGCGTCCACTCTGGCTGCACTCGAGGAGCCCTTCAGCCTGCTGCTGCATCTGGTGGAGGCCTTTGAGGCTGGCTGAGTCTGGAGCCAGCTCCCTCTGCTTGCCGTGAGGTGGGGAGGGAGAGGCGTGGGCAGGAGCGGGGCTGTGTGCCGCGCTCGCAGACCAGTGTGGGTTCCAGGTGGGCACGGGCTTGGTGGGCCCTGCACTCAGGAAGGCCGGCCGGTGACTGCTGGGCTTGACTGGGGGATGAGCTCCCTCTGGGCTGCCAGAGTGCCTGGGCTAGGTGCCGCAAAGACCCATGGTGAGTGCCATTGAAAAGTGAAGCCAAGGTTTATAAATGCACCAATCAGTGCTCTGTGTCTAGCTAATCTAGTGGTGACTTGGAGAACTTTTCTGTCTAGCTAAAGGATTGTAAACGCACCAATCAGCACTCTGTGTCTAGCTAAAGGTTTGTAAATGCATCAATCAGTGCTCTGTGTCTAGCTAATCTGGTGGGGACTTGGAGAACTTTTGTGTCTAGCTAAAGGATTGTAAACGCACCAATCAGCTCTCTGTAAAACGGACCAATCAGCTCTCTGTAATATGGACCAATCAGCAGGATGTGGGTGGGCCAGATAAGGGAATAAAAGCAGACCATCCGAGCCAGCAGTGGCAACCTGCTTAGGTCCCCTTCCACACTGTGGAAGCTTTGTTCTTTTGCTCTTCGCAGTCAATCTTGCTGCTGCTAACTCTTTTGGTCTGTGCCACCTTTATGAACTGTAATGCTCACCGCAAAAGTCTGCAGCTTCACTCCTGAGGCCAGCGAGACCACAAACCCACCGGAAGGAATGAGCAACTCCAGATGCACTTAAGAGCTGTAACACTCACTGAGGGGGTCCGCAGCTTCATTCTTGAAGTCAGCAAGACCAAGAACCCACCAATTCCACACACAATATCATCAGGCTACAATTTTTCAAATTTTTATGCTGTGCTTCCTATTGAATGCTTTGCCACTTAGAAATTTCTTTCAGCAGTTACCCTAAATGATCTCTCTCAAGTTCAAAGTTCCATAGATCCCTAGGGCAGGGGCAAAATGCCACCAGTCTTTTTGCTAAAGAATAGCAAGAATCACCTTTATTTCAGTTCCCAGGAAGTTCCTCATCTCCATCTGAGATCCTCTCAGCCTGGACTTCATTGTCCATATCACTATCAGCATTTAGTGAAAGCCATTCAACAAGTCTCCAGGAAGTTCCAAACTTTCCCACATTTTTCTCTATTCTGAGCTGTCAAAGTTATTACAACCTCTGTCTGTTACCCAGCTTCAGAGTTGCTTCCACATTTTCAGTTATCCTTACAGCAGAGCCCCACTACCTCCTAGTACCAATTTACTGTGTTCATTTATTCTTATGCTGCTATAAAGAAATGCCCATGACTGGGTAATTTATAAAGGAAAGAGGTTTAATTGGCTCACAGTTCAGCATGGCTTGGGCGGCCTCAGGAAACTTACGATCATAGCGGAAGGGGAAGCAAACACATCCTTCTTCACATGATTGCAGGAAGGAGAAGCGCCAAAGACCCTTATAAAACCATCAGATCTCATGAGAACTCACTCACTGTCACAGCAGCATGGGGGTAACTGCCCCCATAATTCAATTACCTTCCACCAGGTCCCTCCCACAACATGTGGGAGTTATGGGAACTACAATTCAAGATGAGATTTGGGTGGGGATGCAGCAAAATTATATCAAGTGGTCAATAATGTCAAATGCTGCAGAAAGTCTCAGTAATATCAAGTTTAAAAACAAGGCACAGAATTTGGCATAAATAGTACTTTAGTGTCCTTGCTGATATAAGTTTCTTCTTGTGGGTATGAATGAAATTCATTTATATTGCCAACAACACTACCTCAAATAATTCCTAAAGTCTCTTTTTGAAAATTCATTTAAATTGGTTCTCCTATTTAAAAAGCCAGATAAATTTAAACATAAATATCCCACACTGCATGTTACAACAAGCTGAAGGCCCAGAATCAAATAATATTCTCTTCTGATTGAGCTTCATAGAAGAATGTAAAACAAATCAACTTTTTTTTTCTTTACTGCTATTTGTTAATCTGTGCATGGTACTCAAAATTGTTTAGAAACAGGCAGATTGGACCAATGCTAGGAACTTCCAAAAATGATGTAAGGTTGAGTAACTCATAGTAAACAATAACTTGGTTGTACATTTAAAGACAACTAAAAGAGTGTAATCATATTATTTGCAACTCAAAGGATAAATGCTTGAGGAGATGGATATCCAATTCACTATGATGTAATTATTTCACTTTGCATGCCTGTTTCAAAACATTTCATGTATGCCATAAATATATACACCTACAGTGTATTCACTAAAATTAGAAAATAGGAAACTAAGCAAAACAAAACAAAACAAAAACTTGTGTTTGCAACATACCAAAATCTCTGTGACACATTTAAAGCAGTGTGTAGAGGGAAATTTATAGCACTAAATGCCCACAAGAGAAAGCAGGAAAGATCTAAAATGGACATCCTAACATCACAATTAAAAGAACTAGAAAAGCAAGAGCAAACACATTCAAAAGCTAGCAGAAGGCAAGAAATAACTGAGATCAGAACAGAACTGAAGGAGATGGAGACATAAAAACCCTTCAAAAATCAATGAATCCAGGAACTGGTTTTTTGAAAAGATCAACAAAATTGATAGACTGCTAGCAAGACTAATAAAGAAGAAAAAGAGAGAAGAATCAAATAGACACAATAAAAAATGATAAAGGGGATATCACCACCGATCCCACAGAAATACAAACTACCATCAGAGAATACTATAAACACCTCTACACAAATAAACTAGAAAATCTGGAAGAAATGGATAAATTCCTCGACACATACACCCTCCCAAGGCTAAACCAGGAAGAAGTTGAATCCCTGAATAGACCAATAAAAGGCTCTGAAATTGAGGCAATAATTAATAGACTACCAAACAAAAAAAGTCCAGGACCAGACAGATTGCAAAAAGAGGGAAACCTCCCTAACTCATTTTATGAGGCCAGCATCATTTATCCTGATATCAAAAACTGGCAGAGACACAACAAAAAAAGAGAATTTTAGGCCAATATCCCTGATGAACATCGATTCAAAAATCCTCAATAAAATACTGGCAAACTGAATCCAGCAACACATCAAAAAGCTTATCCACCATGATCAAGTGGGCTTCATCCCTGGGATGCAAGGCTGGTTCAACATATGCAAATCAATAAATGTAATCCAGCATATAAACAGAACCAAAGACAAAAACCACATGATTATCTCAATAGATGCAGAAAAGGCCTTTGACAAAATTCAGTAGCCCTTCATGCTAAAAACTCTCAATAAATTGGGTATTGATGGGATGTATCTCAAAATAATAAGAGTTATTTATGACAAACCCTCAGCCAATATCATACTGAATGGGCAAAAACTGGAAGCATTCCCTTGGAAAACCAGCACAAGACAGGGATGCCCTCTCTCACCACTCCTATTCAACATAGTGTTGGAAGTTCTGGCCAGGGCAATCAGGCAAGAAAAAGAAATAAAGGATATTGAATTAGGAAAAGAGGAAGTCAAATTGTCCCTGTTTGCAGATGACATGATTGTATATTTAGAAAACCCCATCATCTCAGCTCACAATCTCCTTAGGCTGATAAGCAAATTCAGCAAACTCTCAGGACACAAAATCAATGTGCAAAAATCACAAGCATTCTTATGCAGCAATAACAGACAAATGGAGAGCCAAATCATGAGTGAACTCCCATTTGCAATTGCTTCAAAGAAAATAAAATACCTAGGAATCCAACTTACAAGGGATGTGAAGGACCTCTTCAAGGAGAACTACAAAACACTGCTCAACGAAATAAAAGAGGACACAAACAAATGGAAGAACATTCCATGCTCATGGATAGGAAGAATCATTATCATGAAAATGGCCATACTGCCCAAGGTAATTTATAGATTCAATGCCATCCCCATCAAGCTACCAATGACTTTCTTCACAGAATTGGAAAAAACTACTTTAAAGTTCATATGGAACCAAAAAAGAGCCTGCATTGTCAAGACAATCCTAAGCCAAAAGAACAAAGCTGGAGGCATCACGCTACCTGACTTCAAACTATACTACAAGGCTACAGTCACCAAAACAGCATGGTACTGGTACCAAAACAGAGATATAGACAAAGGGAACAGAAAAGAGCCCTCAGAAATAATGCTGCATATCTACAAATATCTGATCTTTGACAAATCTGACAGAAACAAGCAATGAGGAAAGGATTCCCTATTTAATAAATGGTGCTGGGAAAACTGGCTAGCCATATGTAGAAAGCTGAACTGGATCCCTTCCTTAGACTTTATACAAAAATTAATTCAAGATGGATCAAAGACTTAAACGTTAGACCTAAAACCATAAAACCCTAGAAGAAAACCTAGGCAATACTATTCAGGACATAGACATAGGCAAGGAATTCATGTCTAAAACACCAAAAGCAATGACAACAAAAGCCAAAATTGACAAATGGGATCTAATTAAATTAAAGAGCTTCTGCACGGCAAAAGAAACCACCATCAGAGTGGACAGGCAACCTACAGAATGGGAGAAAATTTTTGCAACCTACTCATCTGACAAAGGGCTAATATCCAGAATCTACAAAGAACTCAAACAAATTTACAAGAAAAAAACAAACAACCCCATGAAAAAGTGGGTGAAGGATATGAACAGAAACTTCTCAAAAGAAGACATTTATGCAGATAAAAAAAACACATGAAAAAATGTTCATCATCACTGGCCATCAGAGAAATGCAAATCAAAACCACAATGAGATACCATCTCACACCAGTTAGAATGGCGATCATGAAAAAGTCAGGAAACAACAGGTGCTGAAGAGGATGTGGAGAAATAGGAACACTTTTACACTGTTGGTGGGACTCTAAACTAGTTCAACCATTGTGGAAGACAGTGTGGTGATTCCTCAGGGATCTAGAACTGAAATACCATTTGACCCAGCCATCCCATTACTGGGTATATACCCAAAGGATTACAAATCATGCTGCTATAAAGACACATGCACATGTATGTTTATTGCAGCACTATTCACAATAGCAAAGACTTGGAACCAACCCCAATGTCCATCAGTGATAGAGTGGATTAAGAGAATGTTGCACATATACACCATGGAATACTATGCTGCCATAAAAAAAGGATGAGTTCACGTCCTTTGTAGGGACATGGATGAAGCTCATTCTCAGCAAACTATCACAAAAACAGAAAACCAAACACCGCATGTTCTCACTCATAGGTGGGAATTGAACAATGAGAACACTTGGACACAGGAAGGGGACCATCACACACCGGGGCGTGTTGTGAGGTGGGGGGAAGGGAGAGGGATAGCATTAGGAGATATACCTAATGTAAATGATGAGTTAATGGGTGCAGCACACCAACATGGCACATGTATACATATGTAACAAACCTGCACGTTGTGTACATGTACCCTAGAACTTATAGTATAAAAAAAAAAAAAAAAAAACCTTGTGTTTGGGGCAGTTTTTCCAGTTTCACTGAAAAGTTTTACTTGATAAATCTAATAAAAAATGGTAAGAGGATGAGACTTGAGGAGTGTATAGTCTGGATGTCATTTCTCCTAGTCATTTTTAAATTCATTCTTGTATCTAGAGAAAAAGATCCTTTGTTAAGCACCTTGGCTGCTTTTCTATCTTTGTCTCCAGGCCCTTGCATTCAAAGATGAGTTTATCTAGAAATGTTCAATTCAAGCGATTGCTTAATTGTGATAGAGATGTGGGGGGAATTGGCTTTTGTGCAAACCGTAATAATGCTGTGGATCTAGTCTTTTTAGAAATGGTTCAACCAGTCCAATATCAATATAGCTGCTTATCACTCTATTCACTTACTTCAAAGTGGCGTTTGTTTTGAGTAAGAATTTATTTAATTCTCACTGTTAGCTTGAAACCATAGAGATCTTCTCTCTATTTGCCCTACTTCCTTCAAAAGTCAAATGACCTCCTACAAATAAAAGACATTCATATTTTCATTTCATATTTGAATGAGTATTTGTTCACTTTATTTGAATGTTATAAGTATAAAAGCACTGAGAAACAAAATATTAAGTACTTGAAATTTTGGAGAAAAAAAGTAAGAATAACTAAAAACCATATAGTATGGTACCTCATAAAAGTTAGGGTAGATTTGCATTTTAAAATTGCTCATAAGACAAAAAAATGTAGACTTTTCCCTGAGGCTCAGTGTGTAATTGTGGTGACATGTATTCAGTAGTATGATAAATTTTGCAGGACAATCTTTAAAATAAGGTTATCTCTGAGCGACTAGCCAGGATGACCAATTAGATTTAGAACTAAGCTATTTTCTTTGCTCCCAAGATCACTTTGTATCCCGAAGAATTAGTAACAGGAGTCTGAATATCTGATGACCAGATTACTCAATAATTTCAAGAGTAAGTAGGAAAGGACAAAATACACATCAAAGGTAGCTGGTACAAATGATAGCTCTGATTATAGTAGACTGGAAAGGAAGAAAAAACCACAACTTTAGTTATTTTTTCTAGAAAGCCAACTTGATTTCATATGAGTAGATGTATTAGAATTCTGAAATGATATTTGATATTCTATCTAAATTACATGGTATCAATCATGCCATTTCTAAGGGCTTGCTCAGACCAATATTTAGCACAATGAAAGCAAAGATTATTTTCTAACACCTATTAGTTCATGCAGCCTTCTTTTTGCAATGTGGATGAAGAGAAGTAACCTGTAAAAGGAGGAAATGGAGGATGAAAAAACGGTAAGGACTTTTCATCTGGTTCCTGCAGGCTTTTTGTGTGGCTTGTCCTTGATTGCTGCCAGTGACTTCACATAATGTGTTTCTCGTTCATTTACTCTGTCTCCTTGCATCTCCTGTACTGAAAGCCAGACTTTAAAATAAAGATAGTCAGCTTTCAGGAGAGGAAAAACAGTAACAACGACAACAACAAAAGCAAAAACAAAAACAAAAAAAAACCTCTGTTCTTGTAGTTTGAAAGGTATTTGAACCGTCAGAAAATTATTAGACAAATTCTGAAAGGAATGCTAAACACTACAAAAAATTATTTTTGACAAAGAGAACTCCTTGTGGGGTTATACTTGAAAGATAAAACTTTGAGGAAAAAAAATAGTGCGTTATATAGAAAAAGGGTGAGGAAAGATTTACTGTTTTATTGTATATCTAATATATGGTCCTCCTAGTATAAGTGAGTTTAAAGCTATTATAGAGTAAAAAAAAAAAACTTCTTTAAACACAAATGAAGTTTTATATTCAAACAAATTTATTAATTTGCTTCACAAATCAAACCATTTACAGTGGGGGTCAGCAAATTACAGAACTCTGGCCAAATCCAGCCCAATTCCTGTTTTTATGCAGGCCTCAAGTCAAGAATGGTTGACAGATGAACATTAGCAATTGATTTGATACAGGGAACACTAACTTTGAGCCCCAAGTAAGCAAATATCCAGTCACAATAAGAGTCATTATTTTTATTAGATTTTCATTAAAATAATTGTACTCAATTTTTATATTTTGAATTTCATCAATACAAATATTGTAGAAACTTGTTTTCCTTTCTGTTAATGTTGCCTATTGGCCCACAAAGCCTAAAATATTTATTGTTAGCTAATCATTCTAGATTGCATTTGTTATCTTTCATGCGCATCCATGTGAAGAGACCGCCAAACAGGCTTTGTGTGAGCAACGAGGCTGTTTATTTCACCTGGGTGCAGGTGGGCTGAGTCCGAAAAGAGAGTCAGTGAAGGGAGATAGGGGTGGGGCCGTTTTATAGGATTTGGGTAGGTAAAGGAAAATTACAGTCAAAGGGAGGTTGTTCTCTGGCGGGCAGGAGTGGGGGTCACAAGGTGCTCAGTGGGGGGTGCTTTTTGAGCCATGATGAGCAGGAAAAGGACTTTCACAAGATAATGTCATCACTTAAGGCAAGGACCAGCCATTTATACTTCTGTTGTGGTGGAATGTCATCAGTTAAGGTGGGGCAGGGCATATTCACTTCTTTTGTGATTCTTCAGTTACTTCAGGCCATCTGGGCATATATGTGCAAGTGACAGGGGATGCGATGGCTTGGCTTGGGCTCAGAGGCCTGACATTCCTGCCTTCTTATATTAATAAGAAAAATAAAACAAAATAGTGTTGAAGTGTTGGGGTGGCAAAAATTTTGGGGGGGTGGTATGGAGAGAGAGTGGACGATGTTTCTCAGGGCTGCTTCAAGCGGGATTAGGTGCTGTGTGGGAACCTAGAGTGGGAGAGATTAAGCTGAAGGGAGGTCTTGTGGTAAGGGGTGATATTGTGGGGATGTTACAAGAAACATTTGTCATACAGAATGATTGCTGATGGCCTGGATATGGTTTTGGATGAATTGAGAAACTAAATGGAATAAGAGAAGGAGAAAAACAGGTATAAAAGGTCTAAGAATTGGGACGACTCAGGATATCTGATTAGAGAATGCCTAAGGAGATTCAGCAGAGTCCTGCCAGCAAAGATTATTTATTTACTTCAAGAGTTAAGAGTGGCAATTTGGGGATAGCACCAGGAAATATCACCTGTGATGGCTTGGAAAAACAGTGTAAACTGGCAGTGTAAACAAGAGCAGGGCATGTATGAGTAGTTGAGAACGGTAAATAGGAGTATGACTAGACAGAAGATAGCAGGGATGACAAGTTTTCTGGGGCACAGTCTAAGTTGCTCTGGTGTCTGCAATGAGACTGGGGCCTAATAAAAAGGAGCATCTATACAGGAGCTTAAATGGGCTGTACCCTGTAGCATTCCGAAGACAGGCCTGAATTCTGAGAAGGGAAAGTGGTAAAAGTATTGTCCAGTCCTTTTTAAGTTGGTAGCTGAGCTTGGTGAGGTGTGTTTTTAAAAGACCTTTAGTCCATTCTACTTTTCTTGAAGATGGAGGACCGTAAGGGATATAAAGGTTTCACTGAATACTAAGAGCCTGAAAAACTGCTTGGCTGATTTGACTAATAAAGGCTGGTCTGTTATCAGACTGTATAGAGGTGGGAAGGCTAAACTGAGGAATTATGTCTGACAGGAGGGAAGAAATGACTGTGGTGGCCTTCTCAGACCCTGTAGGAAAGGCCTTTACTTATTCAGTGAAAGTGTCTATTTAGACTAAGAGGTATTTTAGTTTCCTGAATCAGGGCATGTTGAGTAAGCTAATTTGCCAGTCCTGAGTGGCAGCAAATCCTCGAGCTTGATGTGTAGGGAAGGGAGGGGGCCTGAATAATCCCTGAGGAGTAGTAGAATAGCAGATGGAACACTGAGAAGTTATTTCCTTGAGGATAGATTTCCACGATGGAAAGGAAATGAGAGGTTCTGAGAGGCGGGCTAGTGGCTTGTACTATAGCATAGCCTGCCTTTGCTGGTGTGTGGTGATTAGGCCTGGTAGAACTGCCATCAATAAATCAAGCGTGATCAGGGTGAGGAACAGAAAAGAAGGAAATATGGGGAAATGGGGTGAATATCAGGTGGATCAGAGAGATACAGTCATGGGGGTCAGGTGTGGTATCAGGAATAATGTGAGAGGCCAGATTGAAGTCTGGGCCAGGAACAATGGTAACTGTGGGACTTAAAGAGTGAGTACAGCTGAAGGAGCTGGGGAGCAGAAAGTATATGTGTCAGGTATGAGGAAGACAATAGATTTTGGAAGTTATGAGAAATGTAGAGAGTGAGTTGAGCATAGTTTGTGATTTTTAGGGCCTCTAACAGTATTAAAGCAGTGGCAGCTGCTGCACGCAGACATGAGGGCTAGGCTAAAACAGTAAGGTCAAGTTGTTTGGACAGAAAGCCTACACTGTGTGGTCCTGGCCCTTGTGTAAGAATTCTGACCGCACTAACCATGCCTAGGAAAGAAAGGAGTTGCTCTTTTTTAAGGGATTGAGGTTTGGGAGATTAATCAGACATGATCAGCAGGGAGAGCACGTGTGTTTTTATGAGAATTATGCTGAGATAGGTAACAGATGAGGATGAAATTTGGGCTTGACTGAAGTAATGGGGGCTGTCTGTGAAGCCTTGAGGCAGTACAGCCCAGGTAATTTGCTGAGCCTAATGGGTGTCAGGGTCAGTCTAAGTGAAGGCAAAGAGAGGCTGGGATGAAAGGTGCAAAGGAATAGTAAAGAAAGCATGTTTGAGATCCAGAACAGAATAATGGGTAGTAGAGGGAGCTATTGAGGATAGGAGAGTATACAGGTTTGGCACCATGGGGTGGATAGACGAAACAATTTGGTTGATAAGGCACAGATTCTGAACTAACTTGTAAGCCTTGTCTGGTTTTAGGACAGGTAAAATGGGGGAATGGTAAGGAGAGTTTATAGGTTTTAGAAGCCCATGCTGTAGCAGGCAAGTGATAACGGGCTTTAATCCTTTTACAGCATGCTGTGGGATGGGATATTGGCATTGAGTGGGGTAAGGGTGATTAGGTTTTAATGAGATGGTAAGGGGTGCATGATCAGTCACCAAGGAGGGAGTAGAGGTATCTTATACTTCTGGGTTAAGGTGGGGGAATACTAGAGGAGGATGCAAAGGATGCTTTGGATTGGGAAGAAGGGCAGCAATGAGATGCGGCTATAGTCCAGGAATAGTCAGGTAAGCAGATAATTTGGTTAAAATATCTCAGCCTAATAAGGGAACTGGGCAGGTGGGGATAACTAAAAAAGAGTGCATAAAAGAGTATCCTCTAATTTGGCACCAGAGTTGGGAGTTTTAAGAGGTTTAGAAGCCTGGCTGTCAATACCCACAACAGTTATGGAGGCAAGGGAAACAGGCCCTTGAAAAGAAGGTAATGTGGAGTGGGTAGCCTCTGTATTGATTAAGAAGGGAATGGACTTACCCTCCACTGTGAGAGTTACTTAAAGCTCGGCATCCGTGATGGTCTACCGGGCTTCTGAGGCAATCAGGCAGCATCAGTCTTCAGCCGCTAAGCCAAGAAGGAGTCAGTCAGAGAGCCTTGGGCCAGAGTTCCAGGGGCTCTGGGAGTGGCTGCCAGGTGAGTTGAACAGTCCAATTTCCAGTGGGGTCCCGCACAGATGGGACATGGCTTAGGAGGAATCCTGGGCTGCAGGCATTCCTTGGCCTGGTGGTCAGATTTCTGGCACTTGTAGCAAGCTCCTGGGGGAGGAGGTTCTGGAGGAATGCCTGGCCGCTGTGGTTCAGGCATTTGGAAGTTCTTGTGTGCTGGATATGTGGCTGGGGTTTGTCTCACAGTGGAGGCAAGGAATTGCAACTTTTTTATGTTATTGTACACCTTGAAGGTGAGGTTAATTAAGTCCTGTTGTGGGGTTTGAGGGCCAGATTCTAATTTTTGGAGTTTTATTTAATGTCAGGAGCAGATTGGGTAATAAAATGTATATTGAGAATAAGATGGCCTTTTGACCTTTTAGGGTCTAGGGCTGTAAAGTGTCTCAGGGTTGCTGCTGAACGAGCCATGAACTGGGCTGGGTTTTTATATTTGATAAAAAAGAGCCTAAATGCTTCTGATTTGGGATAAAGAAAAAGGAGCATTAACCTTGACTATGCCTTTGGCTCCAACCACCTTTTTAAGAGTAAATTGCTGGGCAGGTGGGGGAGGGCTAGTCAAAGAATGAAACTGTAAGCAGGACCAGGTGTGAGGAGGGGAGGTAATAAAAAGATTACAGGGTGGAGGAGTGGAGGCTGAGGGAGAATTGGGACCTAGTTTGGCCTGGCGAGGAGGGGAGAGGGCAGATGGGTCTGTAGAAAAGGAAGATTAGAAAGACTCAGCGACGCTTGGGGTTGGGACTGAGGGGACAGGCAGGAGGGAAAGAAGGAAGGTTTGGGATGAGCTGCACTGGGCACAGAGACTAGGAAGGGACTGATGTGTAAAAGAATGCCTGGACATCAGGCACCTCAGACCATTTGCCTATTTTATGACAAGAATTATTTAGATCTTGTAGGATGGAAAAATTGAAAGCGCCATTTTCCGGCTATTTGGAACTACTGTCGGGTTTGTATTGGGGTCAAGCGGCATTGCAGAAGAAAATAAGATGCTTAGATTTTAGGTCAGGTGAGAGTTGAAGAGGTTTTAAGTTCTTAAGAATATAAGCTAAGGGAGAAGAAGGAGGAATGGAAGGTGGAAACTTGCCCATAGTGAAGGAGGCAAGCCCAGAGAAAAGAGTAGAGACACAGGAAGAGGTGGGGGGTTCTTGCCCTCCAGAAAAGCAGAGAAAGGGTTGGGCCATGGAAATAAGGAATTGGGGCACAGAGATAAGAGGTTGGGGTTCAGAAATAAGGGATTGGGGCACAGAGATAAGAGGTCGGGGTTCAGAAATAAGGGATTGGGGAGTTCTTGCCCCCTAGGAAAGCAGGACTTGCCGCTAAGGGTGAAGGAGAAGGGGTTGAGGGGTACTTGCCCCTCCCCCAGAAAAGCAGAGAAGGGGTAGAGACATGGAGAGAAGGGGTTGGGGTACTTGCCCTTTCCCCAGAAAAGCAGAGAAGGGGTAGAGACAAGGAGAGAAGGGGTACTTGCCTTTTCCCTGGAAAAGCAGAGAAGGGGTAGAGACAAGGAGAGAAGGGGTTGGGGTACTTGCCCCTTCCCCTGAAAAGCGGGACTTTCTGCTAAGGGTGAAGGACCAAGGCAGGCATCCCTGCGTGGTCTGACACCCTTGAAACGTGGGTGAATAATCAGAGAGGTGTCCCTGCAATGATTAAACGCCAAGGGAAAGCTGCCTTCCCAGTCCGTGACCGGCGCCGGAGTTTTGGGTCCACGGATAAAATGTGTCTCCTTTGTCTCTACCAAAAAATGAAAGGAATTGAAATTAAGAGAAAGGAGAGATTGAAGTGTGGCGCCAAGATTGAAAGGAGAAAGAGGTTGAGGGATAGTGAGGGAGGTTGGAGAAGAGAGTAAAAAGAGGCCACTTACCGGATTTGAAATTGGTGAGATGTTTCTTGGGCTGGTCAGTCTGAGGACCTGAGGTCATAGGTGGATCTTTCTCATGGAGCAAAGAGCAGGAGGACAGGGGATTGATCTCCCAAGGGAGGTCCCCCAATCCGAGTCACAGCACCAAATTTCATGCGCATCCGTGTGAAGAGACCACCAAACAGGCTTTGTGTGAGCAACGTGGCTGTTTATTTCACCTGGGTGCAGGCGGGCTGAGTCCAAAAAGAGAGTCAGCGAAGGGAGTTAGGGGTGGGGCTGTTTTATAGGATTTGGGTAGGTAAAGGAAAATTATAGTCAAAGGGGGGTTGTTCTCTGGAGGGCAGGAGTGGGGGTTGCAAGGTGCTCAGTGGGGGTGCTTTTTGAGCCAGGATGAGCCAGGAAAAGGACTTTCACAAGGTAATGTCATCAGTTAAGGCAAGGACCGGCCGTTTGCACTTCTTTTGTGGTGGAATGTCATCAGTTAAGGAGGGCAGGGCGTATTCACTTCTTTTGTGATTCTTCAGTTACTTCAGGCCATCTGGGTGTATACGTGCAAGTGACAGGGGATGCGATGGCTTGGCTTGGGCTCAGAGGCCTGATGTTATCTTTACTAATAAACAACCTAGAATAATTATATATGACCAGTTTTTATTATCATGGAAATGAAATGGAATAAATATGACAGTATGTTGTAGATTTAAATTTGCCAATAGTTGAAGAGACTGAGGCTTTTTAAAGGTATGTTTCTCTTTTTAAAAGGAGTCTTTCAACACCACATATGTTACCCATGAATTGTGTTTTTTCTGAAAAAGAATATGAGGAACAATTCGAGGGAATTTTTTATTCTACTGTCCTTTTTATCAGCCAATATTCCAGTTTGGTAAACTATGTAGTATTATCACAGATTATAAATTGAAGCCTTTGATCTCTTTCTGATTGTACATCTAGTTTGTTTAAACGCATTCATTTCCCAAAATATTATCTAAAACTTGCTGATATTTGTATTGTATTTCAGTTGTAACTGAATCATTTAACATAACTATTTTTGTTTTCAAGACTGATATGTAAATTCCATGACTGAAAGGATCACATATTCTATATATCTGATGCCTGTCTTTCTTCCTATCTGTCAATTTTTCCATTTTACTCTACAAATGTAGGATTACATAAGTGTTCTGTTAATGATATTCCCCAAATCATGTTTGCAAGGGCCCTCTTTAATCTTTTAAGAGCAGTCTATGAACACCTCCTCTTCTGAGAAACTAAACATAAATCCTTTTTTCAAATAAAAAGTATCTGTGGCTAAGGGAGGAGACCACCCCTCATATTGTCTTATGCCCAATTTCTGCGTCCAAAGAAAGAAGAAGTAAAAACTAAAAGTGGGAAATGAAATCCACAATCAGACAGCCCTGCACCACACCCTGGGCCTGGTAGTTAAAGATCGAACCCTGACCTAATGGGTTACTTGCATAAGAAAAGCACTGTGAAGATCCCTGTCCTGTTCTGTTCCATTCTAATTACAGGTGCATGCAGCCCCCAGTCATGTACACCCTGCTTGCTCAATTGATCAAGACCCTCTCACAGGGACCGCCTTAGAGTTGTGAGCCCTTAAAAGGGACAGGAATTCCTCACTCAGAGAGCTCAGTTGTTGGAGATGTGAGTCTTGCCGAAGCTCCCCACCGAATAAAGCTCTTCCTTCTTCAACTCGGTGTCTGAGGGGTTTTGCCTGCGGCTTGTCCTGCTACATGCCTACATCATAATTGTGAAATAAAACCAACAGTGTTATCTTGGTCATGACTAAATCAACAAAGAATTAGTCCCTGAGCTAAAAATTGTTACCAGTACACGAGGGGCCACCAATATCTCTCCCAAGTGGTAGAAAACCAAAAATAAAATGCTAAGCCTCCCAACCAAATAAATGTATGACCTCTTGCCTGAGGGGATTCTAAAGAAACCTGAAATACTAGTTCAGGCCATGAGGAGGTGGGGGTTAGACATGCTTCCCTTTGGAGTTTAGGCACAACTGACCAGCATTAACATTAAAATAGAGATTATAACACTGACAAAAGAAACTCTTTGTAGCATTACAATACCCAACTGCAACCTGACTCTGGTATAGCATTATGTGACAGATAACAGGCCCCAAAGGCAATTAAAATGTTTTGCCCCAAAATATATTTCTTTAGCATATTTAGGAATGACTCTGCAAAGCCATCTCTTGTGAGGGAAATTTCCATTCTGTATATAATCCCTTCCTTTACTAGATCTTTTCCAGAGAGTCTGACACCATTTAAGGTCCTTATAAGAGACATTTACCATCTGTTCTCTCTGAAGCCTAATACCTGGAAGCTTCATCTACATAAGAACCTTGGTTTCCACAAGTCCTACCTTGTCTTAACTCAAGCATTTCTTTATGCTGAATTCAATTCTTCAGCCAGGGCTTAATTCTTTCAACCAGTTGCTGATCAGAAAAATCTTTGAATCCACCCATGACCTGGAAGCCCCTACTTTGAAATGTCCTGCCTTTCTAGGCAGAATCAATGTATGCCTTCCATGTATTGATTTATTTATTTGCCTGCAACTTCTATCTCCTTAAAATGTATAAAGTCACACTGTGACACAATGAACATGGGCACATGTTATCAGGACCTCCTCAGGCTGTGTCATGGGCCATGCTCCTTAACCTTAGCAAATAAACCTCTAAAATGATTGAAACTTATCATGGGTATTTTCTTTGATTTATATAGTTTAATGTGCAAATCTGCCTAAGTTGTTTAAATAGATAATAGGTCCCATCAAATTCTTTGGTTTATGGAATGTTAATAGGCAGAACATCCTAATCTTTCTGGAGGCAAGTTATATGCCAAATGTTGGAAAGGATGGAACCCAGTGTGATAATATGGCTATGAGTTTCTCCTCTATACTATTTCAGTTTTCTATTATTTGTATAATAGACTCACAACAATATCATTGATCTAAGAAATCTGAGCATGCTTTTTCCTCCAAAACTTATTGAATAATAATTAATGTATTAGGATTCTTCAGAGAAAAATAATTAACTGGATATCTACAGATATGTACAAAGATTGATTATAAGGGATTGGCTCATGCCATTATAGAGGCTGAGAAGTCCCATGATCTGCTATCTGCAAGCTGGAGGATCAAGAAAATCAGTGATGTAGTTCTAATTTAAGCCCAAGGCTTGAGATCCAGAGGAACCAATGACGTCAGTAAATCCCAGTTCAAGTCTGAAGGCCTGAGAACCAGGGACAATGATGTCTAAAGGAAGGAAAAGATGAATGTCCTGTATCAAAAGGAGAAAATGAATTTTCTCTTCATTTGGCTTTTTGTTTTATTCATCCTTCAGGAGACTGGATGATGCCCACCCACACTGGTGAGGACAATTGTCTTTCAGTATATTGATTAAAAGAATGATCTCTTCCAGAAACATCCTTACAGGTATCACTAGAAATAATGTTTCACCAGTTATCTGGGCATCCTTTAGCACAGTCAAGCTGAAATGTCACATTAACCATCACAATTAATCTACCAGTTTGAAATAAATATATCCTTCATGTGTGGTAAAACAAAGCCACTAAGTATTCTATGACCACAGACAAGAAACTAACAGCTCTGTGCTTAGTTTTTCATTTGTTTGTTTCTGAAATTAGGGTAATAATAGTATCTACTCCACAAGATTGTTGTGCACATTAAGTGTTCATAAATTTTATGTGAGTTCTTAAAAATAACAAACACATATATAAGACAATATTTGCCAAGCATTATTCTTAGCCCTTTTCCAAATGTTAACTCATTTAATGTACATAACAATGAGGTATGTACTGTAATTGCATTCACGTTACAGAGAAGGAGACTGAGGCATAGGGAGAAAAACTGATTCACCTTAAGTTACAAAGCTAGTAAGTGACATTAAACAGTACCTGATGTATCGCAGTTGCTCATTCATTATTATTACGGTTATTATTACTATCACTTTATGAAATTTGATTATGCTTTTTATGACTTCCTATACTATTGAATTTGGATAAAAGTGTTGGTTCTATTATAAGTTAATGAATTTAAACATATTGGATATGTTTCTCTCCATTTCAGTAATTATCATTATTGATCCTACAATTTTCATATCTTTGAATTATGCTTTGAAGAATTAGAAACCTCTTCAGATTGCCTCTTAAATTCTTTTGATACAACTCAGTAGTTTTGATAGATTTTTATTCATGACAAAATAAGAAAAATCCTAATTTGTCACTCTTGGAGGTTGTTAAAACATCAGTTCATCACTGGAGATTTGTAAATGAATTGATTCAAACATTAATTTTGCCTTTACTTTATACACTGTACTTCCAGAAAACCACAAACTCAATAAGTAGATGTTTCTCATTATTCTTTGTACAGTAGTATTCCAGGTAATTAAAAACAAAGGAATTTTAAGTTTGAATACCAATATTTTCTGATAATTAATAACAAAGGAATTTTAAGTTTGAATACCAATATTTTCTAAGGCCTAATTAATTAATGTATCTATGCAATAATCATCAGTGGCTTAGGGATGCTATTATCATATTAAGGGAGACAGCCAAATGTTACGTGTCCATGATGGAAGTATGAAACCCCACAAATGACATAGGCTTACCACACAATTGATCCTGAATCTGATCAAATCTGCAGTCCAGAACTACTTAGTGTAATATATAAATGTTATATAATCCATACTAATAAAAATAGTAGACACAAGCCAAATGTAGTGGCTGTATGTATATATACATACATTCATACACACACACACACACACACACACACAATCTCTATCATGCTGAGACAGATACTGAAGTATGTATGAATGAAATGACATAATGATGTCTGGAATTTGCTTCAAAATTATTCACTGGTGACTGGGAAGATGAGTGGGTTGGGTTAAGATGAAACAAAATAAAGCATTATTTGATAGTTATTGAAGCTGTATGATGGGTACACAAGAGTTCATTACACAAAAAGATCTACTTTTGTGCATATTTGATGCTTTCCAAAATGAAAAGCTTTGCTTTTCCTTACTGGCTTCAAAATCTTAAGATACATTACATTTCTCCATTATGGTGATGGGCATTCTGTGCATTGGTTTTCCTGTTAACAGAAGATAGGTAGATTAGGAGCCAATGGCAGTCTAGTTAAAGGTCTTTAGAAAAAGAAAAATAATAAACAAATAGTCATCTTATTCATTTTATTATAAATCACTGCAGACAATACTTATCAAATTGTTAAGAAAAGTGGAATTTTAATTAAACTGTAAAAGTTTTGGTACAGGCCCCAGACAGCATTTTGAATAGGAAAATTTGAAATATTTTGGCCAAAAGCCATAGTTGGATTTACTGTCCTTTTATAATCCTCAGAAATGTTGTAGTAATTGTAGACAAAAGTATTTCATTTGAATGTTCACATTTTATTAAAAAAGGATTTAATATTATATCCTGAGAACAAAGATCTTTGATTTCCTATTCGCTAATCCTGCTTAGATCTTTTGGGCTAAAATAATGTTTTTAAGTTTGTCATGCTACAGTGAATTTCAGCTAATCTGCCTGTGGTCTTTCAAAACAAATACATTAAAAGGAAATTTTTAAATGATTAAACTAACTTCTATTCAATGAGTACTTACTGGAATTCGGACATTTTGTTAGACAATTTTAATCTCTTATTTAATTCATTGTCCTGGGTACCTAAGGTAGGAATTATTACTTATTACATGAAATAACAGATTAAAGAACAGAGATCAAATAAGTTAAGTAACTTGTATAAAATCACACAGTTATAAAGTCTGAGAATGCAGTGATATAATTAGAAAAGGCTTAGTGATTTTCATGATTGAGAATTTTGCTTTATTGTATTTTCTGTGTTTTGCTTTTTTGTTGTTACTTATCACAGAATGATGGTAGCTGATAAAATCAGCTGATGACTATATTTAGGGTATGTCAGGAAGAATTCTGGTAATGTGCCCAGAGACCTAGACTAAGTGTAGATTATTAATCAGTTTCGGAAGAAGCATAATAAAATCGTGCTCTTTGAAGCAAGATTGGCCAATTTTTATGTGTATGTCTGTCATTGACATCTGTGTAACAATAGCAAGTGTACTTAACTATATTTAACCTGTTTGTCTTCACCTCTAAAAGAATAGCAATGCTTACTTATAATGTTTTATAATTAAAGTTAATGAATCCCATGTCTTTAGGCTAATGTCTTGTACATAATAAGATTTAATAAATGATACCAGGTTTTACTACATAATATTTGTGTAGCATCGGGCAATTTACTTATCTTTTTGATACGCTGATTTCCAAATATATAAAATGGAGATAATGATAATAATATTGCCTTCTAAAGTTGATGAGATTTACAAATTAATTTTATATAAGTACTTATAATAACAGTGCTTGGTATATACTAAATGCTATATTGGTGCTGGCCTTATTCTATTAGTATTAATTTAAAATTATAATTAATGTAAGAGTTCATGTTATGCCCAAATTCTTTCTCATGGCTTAGAATATACAAAATAGATTTTCAAAATGATGTAATCTTGTCTTAAGTTGGTTAATTTATCTGAATGATGCAATAAGTATGAACATTTTAATAAAATATAGGTACTGTTAGGCTCCAAGTAAATACTTATCTATATGAAAAAGAGGCAGATAAAGATGACATTTTAAATCAATATGAAAAGAAGATGTTAGTAATTAAGTGATATGAGAGGAATTGGCTATAGGAAATCAAAATTTGATTCCTATCATCATAAGGTAATATAAAGCTCAGATTTAAGTTCTAAATGCAAATGAAGTTAAAAATATTTTTAAAAAGACATGAAAATCTGCCCTTTTGGGGAGTACATAAGGCCTCAATAACAACAAAAAAAGAAGAAACCATAACTTAAAAAAAAATTGATCTAACACAAATTAGTACTAGTAAGAGTCAATATCCCAGTATTAAAAATTTACACTCCTATGAAATTAGAGAGGATTGTAAAAACTTTAGATTTATGTTTGTAAAAGTCAGCTAAGTGTAGGCACACTCATTCATTACTGTTGAGAGCATAAATTGGTACATTTCTTATTCAGAGCAATTTGGCAGTGTAGTGTTAATATGTTAAGAAGAAAAAGAAGAGGAAGAGGAAAAGCAAGAAGAAGGAGGAAGATAAGGAAGAAGAGGAAAAAGAGGGGGATGAAGAGGAAGAAGAAGAAAAAGTAAAAAAGAGAAAAATACATATTAAAAATAAACACTTCAAAAAAGTCATACCTGGCTGGGTGCTGTGGCTCATGCCTGTAATCCCAGCACTTTGTGAGGCCAAGGTGGGAGGATCACCTGAGGTCAGGAGTTTCAGACCATCCTGGCCAACATGGTGAAACCGCGTCTCTACTAAAAAAACAAATATATATATTTGTATATATATATATAATATATATTAAATATATTAAAATATATTAAAAATAAAAATATGAAATATATATTAAATATATTAAAAATATATATTAAATATATATTAAATATACATTATATATTATATATTAAATATATATAAAATATGAAATATATATTAAATATATAATATATATAATAAAAATACAAATATATATATATATATATTAACCAGGCATGGTGGTGCATGCCTATAATCCCAGCTACTCCGGAGGCTGAAGCAGGGGAATCACTTGAACCTGAGAGGCTGAGGTTGCAGTGAGCCGAGATTGTGCCATTGCACTCCAGCCTGGGCAACAAGAGTGAGACTCCAACTCAAAAAAAAAAAAAAAAAGTCATACCTTTTCACCACATATTTTAATGTCTATAGATCTGTGTCAGTCCACTCTCACACTGCTATAAAGAAATACCTGTGATGGGGTAATTTATAAAGGAAAGATGTCTAATTGACTCACAATTCCATATAGCTGGGGAAGCCTCAGGAAACTTACAATTATGGCAGAAGGGGAAGCAGGCATCTTTTTCATAAGGCAGCAGGAGGTAAAAGTGAGAGTGCAGAAAAAATCTACCACTTTAAAAACCATCAGGTCTCATGAGAACACACTCACTATCATGGGAACAGCATGGGGGAAACTGCCCCATGTTCCAATCACTTCCCTCCCTTGACACCTGGGGATTAGAGGTCCCTTCCCTGGACAGGTGGGAATTACAATTTGAGATGAGATTTGGATGGGGACACAGAGCCAAACCATATCAAGATCTCCTCAGGAAATAATGATAAAGTTTTACAAATATTAAGGCACAAACCTCTTCACTGAAGTGTTCTGTATTGCTTGAAATGTATTTTAAGCTATCTAAATGACAATAAAGAATACATCGAATAAATTATTGTACATCCATGTGATGACTTAAGTTATAGAAATTAAAAGAATAGTTTTGGAAAAATATAGAAAAATACTCATTATACAGAATATAAAACATTATATGAAGTACGCACAAATGCCAAAATTATATATACATGGATAAAAAATGTACTGAAAGAGTATATGCCAACATATGAACCTGATTTTTGAGTAGCAGATTAAAGCAGATCTTCATTTTCCTCTTTCTTCTTTTCAGCATTTTACAAATTCACCAGAGCATGTGTATGTGTGTGTGTGTGTGTGTATGTTCTTAAAATATATACTTATGTGAAAAACATAATTTAAATCACATATAGACAGTTTAATATCATAACTATTCTCAATTTTCTTACAGTGGGTTTTCCAAATGTTTAAAGTATTATGATTAAAATAGTGCAATTAGGGAAATCAAATGAGTTTCATAAAATAAAGCAATTCTTACCATGATGACACTTTTAAGAAATACTTAATACAGAATGTGCTTCTACTCTTAGGGTAAGGAAAGACTTTCTAGGCATAATACAAAATCATAAAAGTTTTATTTAAAAAGATTGATGTACACAATTAAATAGAAACTGCAAAATTTTGAATAATGAAAAACATAAATTTAAAAGGCAAATACTTGAAAATATTTATAAAATATAACTGAAAATTGTCAGCATTAATTATATAAAGATAATTCCTACATAGAGGAAATATATGGAAGTGGTAGAAAGGGACCACAAAATAAAACAGAAAAAAAAATCTGGAGGGAAACACATGGTAAATTCCCCAATGGCAGTATACATATAAAACAGTGCTCAAGCAAAAATGTAGATAAATCTCAAAAGCACAACTTTGAGTGAAAGACTATAGGCTACAAGGATTACCTACTATATGATTTCATTTGTATAAAGTACAAAACAAGGAAAATTGGTCTATCCAGGTTGAAGTTAGGATAGTGGATACCCTTGGCAATGGTCATGACTTTAAGTAGACAGTAGAGATCTTCTCAGTTGCTTACAATATACTCTTTCGTAATTTGTGTTTCACTGTGTTCAGTTTCTGAAAATTGAATAAACTCTTCAATTCTGATCCATGTACTTTTCTTTGTATTATAATTTAATAACAATATTTTTAATCAATCAGATTATCTTAGGTTATGTTCAAATTCCAATAAGATTCCAGAGAGCATGTTGAATTCGCATATAAAGTGTCCAAGCAGAAAACAAGTTTGCTGGCCTTAAAACTGTAGTATAAAAATTATGATTATTTTGTTAACCCTGTGAGTTTGATTTTAAATATCATTTTGTGAATGGTTTCCTTTAATCCTGGCATTCTCTATGTAAAAAACAGAAAGGAAATAATGTCATTTTAATTTATTATACACACAGAAATGGATATTGAGAAATTTCACTTGAAAATTGTATAGCAGATCTAGATAAGTATATATTGATGCGTATTTCTGTGGTTTATTGTGTGATTCAAATTTACTTTTAAAGTAAGTAGTAATTTATGTAGCCAATAATGGTTTGTATAGTTATTAAAAATTTATCCTCAGTATGAATATTAAACTAGAAAATGAAATACATAAAAATAAATATAAAATTGAATATATTTATTTCATCAACTGATAACTATTATTAAACATTTTTCACCCTCCAAATTTGTTTCTATGCAACTAAACCCTTTGTTAATCTGTGTCAGAAAAAAGGAAAATAAATCTTTGAAATCAGCCAAAAAATATTACTGAGTCTTGTCAAGCATACCATTCAGGATTATCTGTGCCTTTCATTGTACTTAAGTTACTTTACCAGTCAGTAAGTTGTAGAATACTGGCAATAAAGTAGATGACCTTTGTGCAAAGAAAAACTATTTTAATCCACTGGAGATGCTATTGATTATTGCACTTGTATATTGACCAATTTGGAATATTTTTGTAAAGCAATTTTAGCATTCCTTATGGCTTCCGTAGGTTAATGTATTTTCTAAATTCTTCTTTGAATTAGTTATAACAACCTAAAGGTTCCTAAATTAGTTGATGTTAAAGTATTTGAAACAAGTTTATATTTTTATGAGTCACAATTTTATATTTGAAAGATTCATCAACATTAGCTTTTTTAACAAAGTAGGTCATGTATATATTTTCATGTCATTAAATACATATTGGCATAATTTCTTTAGTGGCTCCATAATATTCCATTGTATAGATTTATCATATCCTGTACCATTAGTCACTTATGTCACTGCCAATTTTTATTATAAAGGCAATAATGAAAAAATAAAAATTGCAGCTACTCCACTATAATGTAAACTCTATGAAACATTTTTTTCTGTTTTCTTTTTTAACCTACCTATTGCTGTGCCTGCAAAGGTTCTTAGAACATAATACATATAAGCAGCTATTAACTGTGTTGAATATATGAAAGAGTACCTTTAAAACCCAGAAATATGCATCAGAAGCTATGTTTCATCTGTCACATTGACAAAATATAAAAACATTTACAATATCCAGTGCTGGCAAGGGTGTAGAAAGGAATGGTATCACTCACTCTTGATAAAATTCTAAATTATGGTACATTTTCTGGAGGAAATATGACTGTACCTAACAAAATGTAAAATGTGACTATCTTTGGAATCAGTATTCATACTTCTGAGAACTTACCTTGTGGGAGAAAAGTTTAACTTTGCATACAGATACACAAGATACCGATTATTACAGCATCATTTATAACAATGAGAAGTTGGAAGCAATCTTCATGTCAATCAATGAATTGTTAGTAAAGAAATACTAGTATATCCAGTATTCATGAATTCCAATAAGTGATATAAAAAGAGTTACGTACAAAGATATTTAAAGGTTCCCATATATATGATTAAGTGAAAAAAAAGTAAGTCATAGAACCCAATGTACAATGTTATATGACACTAAAACAATGCTTCCTGTATATGGATAAAGAAGAAATCTTAAAGGAAACATATCAAACCTTTACTATGATTATTTCTGAAGAATAAGATGGGAAAAGGATGAGAGTTTTTTTTTCCACAGTGTATACCTCCATATCATTTTAGTTATTTTTGTCATAAACATTAATTGATCTCATAAATAAAAAGAAAAATAAAGTAAATAATTTCATATCAAACTGAAGAATTTAAGACCATGCCATCCTCAAACCTGCTACTCTTGGATATTGATTATTTTGAGTTAAAGACACTTGAAAAAATACAGCATCAAGACCACTCTGACTTTCCTTCTCTTTCTTAAAAGCAAGTGATGAGATTCCCATGTGAAAGATGTCCTCTCTGCACCGCAAGGAAAGTATCATTTTTTTTTATCATCAAGGATGGGACACAGGGCAGGCACTTAAAAATAAGTACCTGAGAGGGGCCCTTCCATTTTGATTGTAATTGATCCTCAGGGGATTCTTCTCTCCAGGGTTTTAATAGAATTTCCATATTCTTGAAGGGCCTTTTGGACCTGGCCTAAATTCCAAAAAGGGGGGTATAGCGAGGTATGTCTGACTTCCTGTTTCTTTTCACAGCCTAAATTTGTTTTTCAGGCTTCTTATTGTCAATTAAATGTTCTAGGCCAGACAAGAAGCATGGTGGGCAGGCACCCATTTGTTCTTAAAACACTTTTTAAACAATATAAAAGACTAAGACTAAAAGCCAAAAATAAGGCTACACATCAAGAGAAAACAAGAGTACAGCATCAAGTTATACTGGAGAAAATCATTGCTTTTATATACCTCTAAGATGAAATATTTCAGCAACAGGCCATAACAACAGTTAGAACCAGAGGATAAAAAAATCACAGAAGCTGACAAAAAAGCTAAAGAAGAGAGTTATCCTCCTCTCCTTTTTATGAGAAAATGGATTATAAGCATTTGCCAGTGAATGAAATACAACAAAAGGAATATATTTATTAAACAAAGTCTGTAAGGGGGTGTAAATACAGAATGACAAGATAATCATTTTGAACTTTAGAGCAGAAAACAGACAAGGCAGTACCAAAAATCGGAGGTGGTTTAGAGACCCCCTAGAGTGGGCCTCTAACTCACAATACCTCTCTAGAGTAGGCCTCTAAACCACAATATCCAATGTCAAAAACCCCAGAGCACATGAGGATGACCAACACTGAAGGTGGGACTCTAACTCACACTTCTAGAATGAACGCTCTCACAATCAGGTGTTCTGCCTTCTACACTTGCCCAAATGCAGTTAATGGGGAGCTAAAGCAAAAACTGCAAATGAAACATATATTTCAGTGTGGAAGGTAAATTAAAATAAAATTTCCAATCAAAAAATTAAAATGGTGTTAGAGGAGAAATGGCTGAGAGAAGGGCTGACAAGGACAAAGCTGATCCATTGTGCTTCCATTCAGGGCACTCAAATGGCAGAGGATTTTGAATGGACTACCTAGCCAAGGTCTTATTTCCAGGCTCACCCAATGTTGAAAGGGGGGCAGAAGGAACACTTACCCATCCACAGGAGCCAAAATGATACTGACTTGTCTCCAATGTGTGGCTTGGGTGAAGGTCTCCACCCAAGCTTTACAGCTTGGGCTGGCTCAGCTGCCATAAGAGGATTGGCGTATGATCCTGTAACCAGCCAGCCAAAATGGTGGGTCTTTTTATATGAGGTGACACTGTGGCTGCTTGCCCATCTGTCTGCTCAGATCTGCTTCCACCACCTCCCAGGAAAGATGATGGCTCTGAAAAGAGCCTTTGGCTAGAGTTACAGCTCTACAGTGTTATGCCTCATCAATCATAATCTTGCTGCCTCACCACCTCACTGTCTCACCAGTCATTGCCTTTCACCTTCTCTCCACCCAACTATTTCACCAATTGACACCTCTCGCCATCTCACCATCTCATTGTCTCACTGATTGCCAATTGCCAACTTGTCACCTTGTCAATCACCAATTGCCATTTTACCATTTAGTTTCATCCCTTTTTGATCACCAAGATGATACAGGACAAGTGAGCCCCAAAATTGAGACTTAGCCTGGGAAATTTCTTGGCTTCCCTCAGGAAAGAATACAAGGGCGAATCAGAGGTGAGAGAGGGCAACTTTTATTGAATCAGTGCTGCTCCTTGCAGAGCAGGGCTAACCCACAGCCAGTGTGCCCAGAGTTGGCAGCATATGGGCTGTTGGCAGTTGCATTTATATCCACTTTTGCTTACATGACAATTAAGGGGCAGATTACTCAGAACTTTCTAGAAAAAGGGAGGAGAGTTTCTGGAATCATGTAAGATAACTTCTGGGCCACTATCATGGTCCATTGCCATGGCATTTGTAAACTGTCATTGTGCCAGTGGGAGTGTCATTATGCTAACAAGCAGTGAGGGCAACTAGATGTCACTTTCATTGCCATCTGCAGGTTTGGGACAGCTTCCTCACTTCACCCTGAGAATCAACCAGATTCTGCTTCAATTAGCAGGATCATTACTGGAAAATAAGTCCTGCCAGCCTCCTACCTTACTGTTTATAAATTAAATTAGATAAATTTGTATGCTTTTCTCCTGATAATCTGTTTTATGTTAGTTTAACTCTTAGGCCCAGTTTAAAAAAAAAAAAATCTAAGAGTGTAGAAGTAAATTCTGCCACCACTTATAAGACATTGGTTAAAAGAAAATGTACATGATTCAGTTAGCACAAGAGAGATTTTGAAATTTTCAGTCACTGTTTTTCAAATTTATGTCTCTTATTAAGCAGAGGGTCATGTATATTATCCAGCTCAATAAATAATAGTTCAATAATATAGTGTAAACCATTTTTTTCATTAAAGATTTAAAAAGTGTAAAAATTGCAGCAGCTAGGGATAATGGTATGTTCTCTCCTGGATTTTGGAGCTCCACAGATTTGTGTTTTGGGTTCTCTCAGTTTCTTTGAGCAAATTTCTGATCCAAACTGTCTTTGGAAGTCATGACAGATACGGGACTGGGTCCATAATTGGATTTAATTAAGGAATCAACTGGCTTGGATCCAGTTAGAGGCCTCTTACATCTGAATGGGTCAGAAAGAAAAATAGTAAATGGTAATATTGCAGAGGGTAAAAAATTTGGCTTTTTGGAAATTCACAGGGGTTTTGTCTTCTACTCCTTTGTTTCATTTTTCTTACATGCTTAGATAGGAAAAAAAAAAATTGGGTAAGTTAATCTAGGAACCCGAGAGCAAAGCCAATATCTTAGGTAAAAAAGGGATTCTTAATTTCTGAAGAACTGAGCAGCAAATTCTTACAGAAATGGCAAAATCTTACTAAAGATTACTTCCAGTAGAATGTTCCAAATGAACAAAACTGCACTGAAATGCATTTGAAAATGAGAGTTCCCAAATTAGTCTCTCATCTAGGGATGCCTATTGGCATGCAGAAGCTTCTAAAAAGTTTTCGGTATTTTTATTTAAAGACTTTACATAAGGCAAATAAAAACTTGAGTGACCAATTGATTAAAAAAAGAAATCTGCCTTGCAATTTTTCCTGATGGCAATGAGCGACAGGATTAGGCATGTACTGGACCATGGAAAATGGGAAACATTTTCTCCTCAAAGGGGAAAAATTGAGAGCTGATGGGATTGCTGGAAAAGACTCCTTCATGACTAACAAGCAGCCATCTGAACTTTTGATTCAGGTTTGCTACAATGGGTGGGTTTTTCTCTAACCTCCTAGAGCTAATCACCTTCCACACCCTGCCACAGGCAATGATTCTCTCTTGCTCTCTCTCTGTGCAAAACAGTTGAGGGAATGATAAAATTCACTATATCTTGGAAAGTTTTAATTAATGAGAAAAATGATTTATGAGACTACTCTTAAGCTGTAATAATCTGGTAAACTTTGTGGTATGAATTTGTCTTTTTGTGTTGTTTTGTCACGAAAGGGGTACCTTATGATAGAACATGAGCTTAGGTTTCCATAAGCTCACTGTTCAAGATGGCCCAGCAAGCTAGTCAGTGACAAACTTTGCTGCAAGTCTCTGAAACAAACAAAAAACTGGATGAGGTCTCCATCTTGTTTTATGTCCTTAGGAGCTTGATCTTGTAACTACATTGTGGTACTTTCTCTTGGTCTTTGCCATGTAGGGAACAGGAATTTGGTGGTTCATGTAACAGCTCTACAAATTATCTTGAGTAGTTAAAAGTCATTGCAAGCTCAAAATTGACTGCTCTAGACTCCTTCTGGGAAGAGCAATGGAAACTTCCCAATGCTCCTTTGCCTCAGCAGCTAAGGCTTTGCCATTTCAAATTGGTGGCCTGGGTTCAATCTTGGCTTAGGGAATTAGTATATTTCTTGTTGATATCTGTGTGACCTTTAACATTTGTTGATTCTCTTCCCCTCCATGAACAACTTCTAGGTTCCCTTCTTAAGTTTTCCTTTCTCTGAGCTATCTTTGAAGATTCCAACTTCTGTAACAACTGTTTACCACCTCTTTGAAAATACCTCATACACTTGTACACTCATGGTTAAGCCATAACCTTTTTTAAAGCTTGTTAGTTTTACCCATGAGGTTAATTTTGGTAACATTTAAAAGCCAGGAATAGTTCCTGTTTGGCCTGGCTAAAGTAGGGTAATAAGAAATTTACAAGGAATTTTTTTTTTTTTTTTGCAAGAGCTGTGGGTAAAAGTCAGCTTAATTAAAAGTGGCTATCCAACCTCTACATATATTTAAGAGGCCTTTTTTTGTTTTCTTTCTCTTCTTGAATCTTATTTTTCTGAAGCAAAGGGTGTTTTCTTTTCTTCTCAGTGGACTGAAATGTTTTTTCTTTATTTTTTTTTTCTTGCCACTCATAATGCACACCTGAGAGGACCTAAGATAACTTCTAATAGTGTGGGACTCCTTGGGAAAATCAGAGTAGCCACCATAGATCCTGTTTTAGGAAAAACCTCTGTTTTTCTTGTGAAACCCCAGGAATTCAAAGTATATAGATCCCTCTCAAAATGTAAGGCTGTGTTGTGTTTTTCATTGTGTTATCTGATAAGTTTGAGTTAAGCGATTAACGGAAATTACTTCTCATTATGAGAGAACTTTTGTGTGTAATAACTGGGTAGGAAATGTACTTTAAGGGATGGCTAATTGCATTTATGTCAGATACCCAGCTCTTTGCATGTTTGGATTAGAGATGCATACGCTTGGCCACCTAGAAGGTATGGAAATGTTCCCACCTGGCACTGAGAGATAAGACTCCCATTGGTGATAGGCTGATTGCAAGATGGGCTGATTGCAAAATCGGCTGATTGGCTGGGTTGCCATGAAATGAAATGCAAGGTAAAAGCATTACACTGTCTTCTCCCATAGCATTTCTGTTTTAGGGGATCCAGAATGTGATATAAAAATGGGACCCTTAATTTTGGAAATCTGCTTTTGTCTTCAAGCTCTGCTTGTTTATAAGGCCCTAGAAAATGCATGCTTTTCTGGCCCTCTTCCTTGAAGAACTCCATCTTGAAGCCAGTAATCCATTTAAGAAAGTTAAAAACTGGCAAATGAAAAATCTGACAACTACTGGATCTTCTTCTGTCTGTATGCATAGTTATATATGTGTTGTGTTTGTGATGTTTATATAAAAGAGCTCTAATTAATTGGCTTAAAGAAAAATAAGCAAATTGATTTCAAATCAAATAATTTAAAGACTTTGTCAAAAAATTAAAACTAATGCCTTTTACTTCATGTGACAATAAGCTTTCAGAAATAAAGAGCTTTAAAAATTATTGGTAACATAAAGACATTTTGTCTAAATCAAGCAGTTCAGATATTAGGTTTGCTAAATGATTTTAGGTAATAAACTGCTTTTTTGGCTTTTAAAAATCGTTCAACTCGCCACTGTACAGCTTGGTAAGGTAAGGTCTGGGACACATGAGGTTACCCATGCCCCTAGTTATGCTGAAAAGAATCAGACCATATCTGCACTTCAGTCTGGTGACCTAGGCTCCAAACCTAGTACGTAATTAAAATCACTTGCTTACCAGGCTTTTCATCAAAGATAAAAATTGCTAAAAGTTGACATTGTAACATGTGACTAAGACTACTAAAAAATGTTGTACATGCAAGGTGTGTGAAGACAGTGAAATATGCTTTTAATAAAAGATTATAACAAGGCATGAAAATGTAAATTTTTGCCTGGTTTAGAGGATTAAAGGATTGTTTTAAATCAGATAGGATAAAGCTGAAGTTTTGAGTAAGTTGTGAAGGATTCGAGAAAAATTGATCTTGTAAAAAATTCTGTGTGATATATATTAGCTAAATTTAAAAGGGTATTATTTATTTTTTTCTGTACATTGAACATTGGAATAAAAGCACGACAGGGTTTACTTTAAGAACTGATCTGCTCTTTAACAAATATTTGTAGAGGATTAGAGAAAGTTTTTGAGCATCTCACCTTATGGTCAAACTGATTAAGATTGACAGATATGTCTATAAGGTTTTATTAAAGATTGGAGTTGACGTTAATAGTACACTAATGCAAAGGTGAAATTTGGCTTTCTTTCTTGAACCAGATACTCATGTAATATTAAATAATAATGCAAATTTTTGTTTTACTTTTGAATAAAATACTGAACAAGGAACTAAAGACAAGGGACAGATTGTTTTGAAAGCTAAATTGTCCCTCTCTCAATGAGTAATGATTTATGCCTTTTTAAGGTTTTTGAGTCATTATTTTGGCCAACTGAATGACTTATGGTGATCTGGAATTCTATTTCATAATATCAAGTGTTCTAAACCTTTAACATATTTTATAGGCTTTCCAAAATCAAATTTCAGCTTCAAAATAGTCTCTTCTGACCTCTAATTTTGGGATGCTACAGAGAACCCCTGAAGCATCCAAAGGAGAGGTAAACAGGATTATTTAACATGTTAAGTTACATGAGAAGCATTGTCAAAACAAAAAATTATGTTTCACCTTCTTTAGGTTATATTTTAGTGAATGACATTAACATATGTTACAAAATTGCATGGGATTGCTAACATTCAAATATGTCTAAGTATATGTTATCAATCATAATTATGGTTATTATGTTAAGTTATTGTAGGCCACAGAAATAGCCAAATTTCCTTGTCAATTGTGTTTTTAACTATAACCATTTAAAGTCATTTCCATATTAATTGCTTAATGCTGACACAGTTTCTGAAAACTTCACAAACACACAAAATCATAGAATATAGTGTCTTCTAGGAGGTTCATGAAAAGATGGAAAGGACCCTGAAAGCACTCTTGAATATAGGTTTCTAATAACTCTAAAATCATTATCATTTGGACTGAGTAAGAATTCCTGAAACTTTAATGAAAAGAACATTGTCAGGAGGCTTTCATGCTTCTAGATGGATATCATTTGTTAGGTCCTTTTTCTATGATTTGGATTCAGAGAAGCAATAATTAGAAATGTATCTCCCATGATGGGATCTATTGCAGATCCTACTGGAAAGGCTAAGGTTACACAAAAAATTTTAAATTCTCTTGGGAACTTCTGCTAAATAATAGAATTCTTCTAGATTACTTTCTGGCTAAACAGAAGTATCTGTGCAGCTGCTGGCCCTTGTGGACAATGGAAAAATATATTACATCAGGTATTACAGCGATCCAGTTGTAGGGGATTAGCGAAGATACTCTTTAGTTAAGAGAGTAGAGTCCATCCGGCTCATTCTTTTGTCTGTTTGATTTTAGGTGGTTTAATTTATGGGGACCCTGGGTTAGAAGCATACTCCAAACTCTTGATATTATCCTCCTGATATTCATAATAGTAGTCTCCCTGGTGTGTTGTATTTCCTAAAAGATTTTAAATGTTTGCATGTAGCCATCTTTAGAATGCCAAATTGTCTCTCTTCAACTGGCATGACAAGAGCTACAAGAAATGTGGGACCACGAGGACATCATAACCTATGAATGACATGCTGAGACTGGAACCCCAAAATGGTGGTAACTGAGATTGGCACTAAGGCCTTAATTTTTGGTCACACTTTCACCTAAGTGAGAACCTGACCAAAAAGGGGGAATTTATTTAAACACAATTATGGAAGGTTATTGTTTTGGACTGAGCTCATGCACTAGGCCCCAACAGACAAAATCAAGCAAAAATGGAATGTTCATGCTAAATGTGATGTAATCAAACTAAGACTTTTAAGGAAAAGCATAGGTTCTGGAACAGACATGGTTTTGTTTTTCTCCTATAAACAGTGTTTTCCAGCATAAGGAGATAACCTCCACTCAGTCCTTGTTCCACCTTGCAAAACCCATAGTTTTACTATTTCCCAGTGGGTTTCTAGACCAAATAAGTACATTTACAATGGTGATAGTGACATCAATGACTAAAGTTTCGGTCAATCTCATAAAATTGAGAAAATTACCAAATGGGGAAATTGTTAAATCAAGTTTAGCCTAAAGCTTCCTTCTGACATATTTAAGTTTGGCCTAAAGGTTTTTCTGTACATCATGAACTATATCAAGTGGAGGTCTAAAGAGACCATAGCCTACACTTGTGCCAATCAATGATATTTGGCCAATTAAATGTAGCCAATTGTTCAAACCATGTTCAAATAAGGCAAATGCTGAGCTGTAACCTATCCAGCTGTTTCTGTACCTCACTTTCATTTTCTGTACTTCACTTTCCTTTTTCTCTCCATAGATCTTCTTCCACCGCATGGCTACATTGGAGTCTTTGAGCTTACTGTGACTTAGAAGTCTGTCTGATTTGCAAATCATTCATTGCTCAATTAAACTCCTTTAAATTTAATTCAGTTGAAGTTTTTTTTTTATCACTAGTAAAAAATATATCTCTATTCTGCATATTCCTTGATTTTTTCTGGGAAAGATATTTCTCACTTGACTATTAGTTTACATTAAATGTAAAGTTAATGATAATTATACCACAGATATTAGAACTGTGTTACAATTTTACATAGTCATTTACTAGTAGACATATGTTATTTTGTATATATACATAAACATTTTTTCAGAAAAAAAGTTTCATTTTTAAATGAAGAATTTTTAGACATATTTGCTGACAACACAAAATACAGATAGCTAGAAAATTATCATTATATTTCTTAAAATAAGAAGAAAAATATTCAGCTTTAATATGAGAATTTTGTCTACAATGCGTTCAGTTCAGTTTAGATAGTGTCACCTACTGCCTGAGTAAAACACCACACATCTTTCTTGAACTTTGCAGGTTCTTTTCTTTCCGAACAGAACATTCTTAAATTTTCTCAACTCCTTCGTTTAAATTCTTCATTTATTTATCATTAGAATATGAGATACTTTCATATAGAAATAACTACTTTTTCAAATGTAAATCCTTCTGCTGAGCCCAGTAGAATTCAATTAATGTTTATCAAATTGAATTAAAGCACAAATTCATGGTAAAAATATAATTAGTTAAAAGATTTGTTTACCTATTTTTTCCTGCACTTCTTACTCATTCATTATGTAATATTTGTATAATAGTATAACACACATTAAAGCATACTTAAAAAGTAAATCATTTCAATTAATAGAATGTATTATGTTTTCTCCTTGAGTTCAAATCCTAGTCCTGCCCCTTCTCTGGTTGTGTAGCCTTTGATAAATTGTTCAACCTCTTAATGCTGAAATTTTCTTATTTGCAAAATGGGGAGCACAAAAATGGGACCCACCTTAAAAAGTAATTATGGCAGTTATATGAATTAATGTATGTAAATATATATGTATAGTAAGTGTTTTATGTGTTTGTATTTAGTTGATGTTTGAAAAATGTTATTCATGTATAAACTGTGAATAACTAGAAGCAGAAGACAGTTGAGGTTCCTTAACAAAAAACAGATTACCATGAGAAAAAGAAACAGTAGTTTATTAACATGTATATCTCATATATACATAGATGCTATCTTGAAAAATGAATAATGTCAAAGAGGTGGCCTAGAACTCTGGTGTGTTAGCATCTTCAACTGTAATAAACAAAAAAGGGTATAGAGGAGGCAAGACATGGAACAGTAATCAGAAAATGCAGGGTAAAAAAGAGTAAGGTTTGCTATGCAGTTATAAGTCAATGTCTTCTCCATTGATAAGAGTCTCTTGTGATTTCATCATCCTTCTTTTCTTGGTACACAGGAACACTTACAAATGGAGATTTCCTTTAAAAGTATAAAGTTTTTCTCATAAAACGGTAAACTGTGCTGTTTTTAGAATTTCTCCTGTCTGCTATTTCTCAAAATAACCAGATTAAAAAAAATTTATGCCAAAAAGGCATATTTTGATCTCCTACAGTCATATTTTAGGATGGCATATGTTGGAATCCTACACATCAAAAGTCCATAGTTATATTAGTCCATTTTCACACTGCTATGAAGAAATATCTGAGATCGGGTAATTTATAAAGAAAAAGAGGTATAATGGACTTACAGTTCCACATGGCTGGGGAGGCCTCACAATCATGGCGGAAGGCAAACGAGATGCAAAGTCACATGGTACATGGTGGCAGGCAAGATAGAGCATGTGTAGGCAAACTTTCCTTTATGAAACAATCAGATCTCATAAGACTTATTCACTATCAAGAGAACAGCACAAGAAAAACCCATCCCTATGATTCAATTACCTCCCACTCGGTTTCTCACACATGTGGGAAATATGAGAGCTACAATTCAAAAAGAGATTTGAGTGGGGACACAGCCAAACCATATCAATAGTTCACGTTAGGATTCACTGTTGGTGTTATGCATTCTATAGGTTTTGACAAATGTATAATGACATGTATCTATTATTGCAATATCATACTGAATAATCTCACTCCTATAAAATCCTCTGTGGTTTGCCTGTCCTTCCCACACTACCCCGTAACCCCAGCAACCACTAACCCCATTAACCTTTTCACTGTCTTCGTAGTTTTGCCTTTTACAGAATACCATATACTTGGAATCATATACTGTGTAGCTTTATTTCACTTAGCAATATGTATTTAGATTTCCTGCATGTGTTTATATACCTTGATAACTCCTTTCTTTCTTTCTTTCCTTCTTTCTTTTCTTTTCTTTCTTTTTTTTTTTTTTTTTTTTTTTTGACAGAGTCTCACTCTGTCACCCAGACTGGAGTGTGGTAGTGCAGTCTCGGCTTACTGCAATCTCCGCCTCCTGGATCAAGTGATTCTCCTGTCTCAGCCTCCAGAGTAGCTGGGACTATAGGTGCACACCACCATGCCCAGATAATTTTTGTATTTTTAGTAGAGGAAGTGGTTCACCATATTGGTCAGGCTGATCTCGAACTCCTGACCTTAGGTGATCCACTTGCCTTGGCCTCCTAAAGTGATGGGATTGCAGGCATGAGCTACCAGACCTGGCCAGTTCATTTCTTTTTAGTGCTGAGTGATATTCCATTGTCTGAAGGAAAAATAGTTTATTTATTCATTCATCTACTGAGTAACATTTTAGCTGCTTTTAAGTTTTGACAATTATGAATAAAGCTGCTATAAATATTCTTTTGCAGGCTTTTGTGTATACACAACTTTTCAGTTCATTTGAATAAATACCAAGGGGTGTGATTGCTAAATCATATGCTAAGATTATGTTTAGTTTTGTAAAACACTGCCAAAGTATCTCTCCCAATGGCTGTAATATTTTGCATACCCATCAGCAATAAATGAAAGCTACTATTGCTCCACATCTTCACTAGCATTTGATGTTAGTGTTTTTGAATTTGATCATTCTAATAGGTCTGTAGTGGTACTATGGCATTTTGGAATCAATGCTTCATTTAAAGAATAATGATTCTTGTAGAAAATTTAGGCCTCTGGAAATAATTCTGAAAAAAATCAGACTTTGCACTATCACTCAAGTACTAAAACACTTTTAAAGTGTTGTAAGTGGTGTCATAATTAAGACACAAATTATCTTATGATTTGTTAAAGAAATCAAGTAACACTTAGAAGAACATTACCATATGTGTGTCAGGTGAGATACAATGAAAAAATGAAGCCAAACTGCATGAAATAAAGGATGTTTATTACTCACAGGTCAGGGAGATTATAAGTGTGTACAAGAGGCTGATGAGAAGTCCAGAGACAGCAGGGTGCTCAACCTGTAAGTGGTAAACAAGAAAGAGAGACAGAGAGAAAGAAAGAGAGAGAAAGAGAGAAAACTTATAGAAGTATGCCCTTATTAAGGACCATAGGCATTATTTTTTATCCTTTTCCAAAAGGGTTGTAGAATAGCTAGTTTACATAAACCTGCATGAAGGAGAAACATATTTACAGGACTCTGGTGACGGTCATTAGGTTTCACTGTAATTAGCATCTGTGGGTTGTGTGGGGGTCAGTGAAATAAAAAACAAGCAGGTGCTGTTACAAACAATCATTTGTTTGTTTTAACTAGACTAAAGCTGATGAGGCATGACTGGATTACAAACAACTTGTGTCTGTCCTAAAATGGATGCTGAGGCAACAACTATGTTAAACAAATTCATAACATCTTATCACACATTACTTTATCTACATCTGTATCTATATTTATGTATATTTATATATAAATTGTGTATATAAATTTACATATAAAATCCTCTGTGCTTTATATGTATATAATATGCCTTATATGTGTATACATATAATGTGCTTTATAGGTGTATAATAAATACAGAATTTATATATAAATATATACATAATTTATTTTCTACATCATTATAATGTTACAAGTACATTATAAATCATCTAGGAACATGTACTGCTGTTTAGAATTTTGAGTGAAACCAAAGGATCTAGCCCAGTGTCTTGTATACAGTAAGTGCTTAATACAGACTATTAATGATGACTGTGCGAATTTCTGTATGAAAGCATACTTACACGTATTTTATATGTAGTGAATATATATTTACAAATAATTGAAACAATAAAATGGAGTTTTAACATACATCTTTAAACTACTATTTGTAACAAACATAAATCTAAGTAATTATTCAGTAAAGTTTAATAAAACATATTAATGTAATTAGCAAATAACATTTTCTGTTGTTCTGACATTAGAATGTATTTGTGTGCTTTGTACAATATGGCCAGAATAATTAGAAATAACTCTTCATTTTCTCATTTGTATGCTTATACTGCATTTACATCTGGAAGTCCAATTGCTTAGAATCTGCTACAGGACTTCTATGGATATATTTAATAAGGACAACTTGGCCATAATGAGCTTAAATTTTGAACTGTCAGAAGCAGATGGATTAGAATGTGTGGTTCATTGATTTATATATAAATACAGATTCCACCCCCTCAGAGACTCCCGTTTTACATTCTCAGAAAAACATAAGAAAGAAAAGATCAAAAGCCACAGACCTTTTGAAACATGTTAAGTTAGCCTATAAAATAATATTTCCTAGGCTCATGTGGCTTTAAAATTGCTGTAAATTTCCCTGAAGCATGTTTGAAGCAAGCATTCCTAAGAAGCTTAATAGAAACTCTTTTAACAAAATGTCTTTCCATCCCTCCCTATTTTCTATGATTTATTTTGTTTCTACTCATTTAACAAAATAGTTTTACATTTGTCTGTGTATAAAAACCTTTTATTTCAGAATTTTCCATTGAAGATTCTATTATGTACTTCTTTTATGCTATTAATTATCAAGTAGGCACACAAATTTACTCAATTTAAAATTTAGAAATATTTAATTTTCTGTTTTCTTGTTGCCATTATTTGCTTATAGTTTTACAAAGTTTACAAACAATATTAACTATCACAAAATTTATATTTTTGACAGTTCTTCATAGAAGCAAAAAAATGGGCTGTATTTTAATAGCATATTTAATTACATGTCTTATAATGTTTTTACCTGTGGACTTGATTATTTGATTATTTGCATTAATTGTGTGTTACTGAATTATGCCTGATTTTGAGTTATAACTTAATAAACCTTTTCTTAAAAAGGTATGCATTTATCCACATACATTTCAAAGCAAAAAGGGATTTTTTTCTTTTATACCTGTTATAGATCAGACGGTAGAAAATCTCAATGAAATACCTGGACTTAATGAAACACATACAGTAGGATACAAATATTACAATCTTTAATATAGTCTTTTAATTTCTCAACTTTGTAAATTTGGTAACCATCTAACAATGTGAATCTAATGTACAGCCAATTTCCTTGTTGCAGCCAAAATTTTGTAAGGAAGGTTGGAAGTGAGAAAATAATGAATCAATTTCCTTAGCCTACAAAGATTTTACAATAGCATATTGGAAAATATTAGAAAAGAGTCAGTCTTGGTTTTGCTAAATTCAACAGGTAACTTTGAACAGTCAGTCACTTTTCTTCTGCTCTCATCTTCCTAATCTAGGAAACAAATTGACAATTATATGTCAACTCTGGACAAACAAAATTTGAAATCAGGTCTATTTGGGAAAATATCACCTGAATATTTTGATATACAAGTAGCTGGACTAATATATTTTAAGGATCTGTGTGGAAAAGCAGATAAGGCTTGGGAATTCTATCATATACTAAAGTGAATCTAGGGTAGAAACTAAAAATATAAAATAATGAGAAACAGCAACATTTAGAACAAGTGCAGAAGAAGTAAATCAAAGTTATTTATCGTGATAAAAAGATAGTTTTCAAATGTAGCAGGTAGATGCATTATGTGAAAATCACCCTTTGGAAGGAGCCATATTGTATATTTAAAATTATATATATACTAATAATATATTTTATGTATATGATTACACATAAAATATAGTCTTGATTAGTTGCATTAATTGTGTTCCATTTAATTATGCCTGACTTTGAATTATACCATAATAAAGCTGTTCTAAAAAAAGTATGAACTTATCCACATGCATTTCAAAGCAAATAGAAATTTTGATTTTCATTGTTATGATATATAACAATATTCATTAAATATAAATTACATTCAAATATAATAAATATAATATTCCTTATAATATAAAATAATGTAAGTTATGTAAAACAGTTTATATTACCTTATTATAATATATTATATAATTATTTTATATATTTCTATTCATACATGAATATGTATTTTAATATATTTATTATATATAATGATATAATGCATAGATGATATATAATAACAAATATAGATTATACCTATAATATAATTATATTATTTTATATATTATGTTTGTAACATATTTATATTGTTAGAATATAATATGTTTATATAATAAAATATATTATTAAATATATATTTAATGTTTTCAATTATGCATTTAATAATATATTTTAAATTATATATATATATAATTTTTTAAAAAGCACTATTTATTTATCAGGTTACTAAATATTGCCCCAATACTAGTGTTGCAGGACCTTTCCTTAGTTCAGCTAAGGACAAGGTTTTTTGTCCCATGGCCATGAAAATTAAGGCTGGCAGACAATTTAAATGGTGAGTGAGACAGGGTTTTCTTGGGTGAAAAGGAAGAAAAAGGGGAAACAGCGACTCTTGGTAGGCCAGAGTTCCTGCTAGAGAGCTTCCTGCCCACTGTTCGAATTTCAGAATCCACACAGTTTTGTGGGTATCTATCAGATCTTCTTGATGTAGTGCTGAGTTCAGGTCCTGAATACCTTTCTTAATGTTCTGTTTCAATGATCTGTCTAATATTGACAGTGGGATGTTAACATCTTCCACTATTATTGTGTGGGAATCTAGACCTCTTCGAAGGTCTCTAAGAACTTGCTTTATGAATTTGATTGCTCCTGTGTTGAGTGTATATATATTTAGAATAGTTAGATTTTTTTTAGTTGAATTGAACCCTTTACCATTATGTAATGATCTTCTTTGTCATTTTTGATCTTTGTTATTTTAACGTCTGTTTTGTCAGAAACTACAGTTGCAACTTCTGCTTTTCCTATTTTCTATTTGCTTGGTGGATTTTCCTTCATCTCTTTATTTTGAGCCTGTATGTGTTATTGCATGTGAGATGAGTTTCTTGAAGACAGCGTACCAATGGGTCTTGGTTCTTTATCCAGCTTGTCACTCTGTTTCTTTTAATTGAAACATTTAGCCCATTTACATTTAGTGTTAGTATTGATATGTGTTTATTTGACTTGTTTATGTGATTGGTTTGTAGTGTCACTCGTGTTTACTTCAATGTGGTTTTGTAGTGGCTGGTAATGGTCTTTCTTTTCTATATTTAATACTTCCTTTAGGGTCTCTTGTAAGGCAACACTAGTGGTAACAAATCCCCTCATCAGTTGCTTCTCTGAAAAAGATTTTATTTCTCTTTCACTTATGAAGCTTAGTTTGGATAAATATAAAACTCTGTGTTGGAATGTCTTCTATTTAAAAATGTTGAACATTGGCCCCTAATTTTTCTGGCTTGTAGGTTTTCAGCTGAGTGGTCCACTGTTAGTCTGAAAGGCTTCACTTTGTAGAAGACCTGGCCTTTTTTTCTAGCTGTCTTTAACATTCTTTCTTTCATTTCCACTTTAGAGAATCTGATGATTACGTGTCAAACCAAACAGCTATAAATTTCGTCTCTTTACATAATCTCATGTTTCTTGGATTTTTTATTTCTTTTTGTTTTTTATCTATTCTTGTCTGCCTGTATTACTTCAGAAAGGCAGTATTCAAGCTCTGAGATTCTTTCTTTTGCTTGGTCTATTTTGCTACTAATATTTGTGATTGCATTATAAAATCCTTAGATTGTGATTTTAGCTCTATCAGACCAGTTCTGTTCTTTTCTATACTGGATATTTTATCTATCAGCTCTTGCAATGTTTTCTCATAAATTTTAGCTTCCTTGCATTGGGTTATAACATACTCTTTTAACTCAGTGAACTTCATTTTTATCTATATTCTGAATTCTACTTCTGTCATTTCAGCCACCACAGGCTCAGCCTGGTTTTGAAACCTTGCTGGAGTGGTGATGTGCTTTTTCAGAGGAAAGTGGTCATTCTTGCTTTTTGAGTTTTCAGCATTCTTACACTGATTCTTTTTCAATTTTGTGGGCTTATCTGTCTTTAATCTTTGAGGTTGCTGATCTTTGTATATTTTTTTCAAAAATCTGACCACTTTTCCATAAGGCTGCTGTGATATGCTGAGGGTCCAATCCAGTCTGTAGTCACCTCATATTTTCTGGTACCTGTAGGTATCATCAGTGAAGGAGGTGAAACAGCAAAAATGGCAACCTTTTCCTTTCTCTGTAATCTCTGTCTCAGGGAGGTAAGCACCTGTTGCCATCTTGAATACACCTGTAGGAGGTTGTTGAAAATCCCAGATGGGACTTTTTTGCCCAGTCAAGAGGAATTGGATTGGACACTCACTTAAAAAAGTAGTATGGCCAATATTATGTTGAATACCTGTGGGGTACTGGGCATCCACTTCAGTCCCTGATTACCTCAGACACTCTAAAGCCTGAAGGCTGAAACAGCTAAGTCGCCCAAATAGCAAAGACGGTGGCCTGTCCCTCTTCCTGGGAGACTTATCCAAGGGAGGTCTGAAACCTCTGTCAGCTGGGGAACACCAGTGGGGGTAGTTGTATAACCTCATTAAGGTGATCCACCTGATGATGAGAAACAGTGTTGGGACCTGCTTAAAAAAGCCATCTGGCCATATTTTCATGGGGCCACTGTGCTGTGCTGGGTACTGTTTCACTCCCAGATGGTTTGGCCTCTCCAAATCCTGAAGGTTGGAACTGCTAAGTCACCCAGACACCAAAGATGGTGGCCCACCCATCCCTCTGGGAGTTCCATCTGAGGAGTTTTCAAATTTCTGTAGGCAAGGGAACACTGGCAGGGACAGCTGGAGGGCCCAATTAGGCAGTCCTGCCAAGTGAGGGGTAATGACATCAGAGACCCACTTCGAAAAGCTGTCTGAGCCTGATTTTATAGAGCAGCTGTGAGATGTGTATGGGTACCACTTTTGCCCCAGCCAGCTTGGGCACTCCAAAGCCTGGAGGCTGGAATGACTAAGTCACCCAAACAGCAAAGATGGTTTTTTGCTCTTCCCTCTGGGAGCTCTGTCTCAGGGACTTTTCAAATCTCTGTTGGCTGGAGAATACAGACGGTGGTGGCTGGAGGCCCCAGTTGGAAGGTCCTACCCAATGAGATGGAATGGATTTGGGACCTGCTTTAAAAAGTAGTCTGGCCACATTTTGGTACAGCAGCTGTTCTGTGCTATGGGATCCCTTCCACCCACAGTTAGCTTGGGTTCTCCAAAGCCTAACGGCTGGAATGGGTAAGTCTCCCAAACAGCAAAGAAGGTGACCTGCCCATCCCACTGAAAACTCTGTCCCAGAGAGTTTTCAAACTTCTGTTGGCTGGAAAACACTGGTAAAGGTGATTTGAGGCCCCATTTGGGAGGTTCTACATAATGAGGAAAAATGAGATCGAGGAAAGATTAAGTAAACAGACTGGCCACACTTTCATAGAGCCGCTGTGCTTGTGCTGAGGTACCACTTTCACCCCAGTCAGCTAGGGTTCTGCAAAGCTCAAAGGCTGAAATGACTAAGTCACCCAAATACTGGGATTCAAACTCTTTCCTCAGGGGTATGTATGGAGGTCTAACCTTCTGCTTTGCAGGAGTTGCAGATACTTTTGTTGGGAAGACAGGAGCTGGAGTATCTAAAGCTCCCAAGTATCTGTATGTGTCTGAGTGTTTTCCTTGCCAAGACCCCACGTAGTTCCGTGTGTCAGACTGACAGCCTTCATGGAGTGGATTCATGAGGGGATCTCCTATTTCAAGGGTTGCAAAGATCCATGAGAGAAGTGTGGTTTCCCAGGGTCACACATTCACTCACCACTTCCCTGGGTTGGGGATATTTTCTTGGCTCTGCATCACTCCCAGGTGGGCCGTTGTCTTGCCTTGCTTTTCTCCATTCTCCATGGGTCAAGTTGTTTCCTTGATTAGTCCCATTGTAAGTACTTGAATGTTTCAGTTGAAGGTGCTGTATTTATTTGCCCTTTTAGTTCCTCTCCATGAGAGTCACATATCTTAGCTGTTTCTAGTCGGCTGTCTTGGCCACCTGTCTCAATAATTATACTTTAAACACATTTGGAATGAGTAGAACAGACTATAATGTAATAACAATGAACTTTATTTAGTTTACAACAAACCTAGTGAAGTAGGTAAAAGAGTTATTTTTCCTTATTTATAGACCAATGAATTACATTGAATAAATTGGAGATCTTTAGTTTCTCTTCAAAAATGCAATTAAGGAATACATGTTGAGAAATGCAAATACAATTCTAAGCTGCTCAACTGATTGAATAGACCTCTCCTTGTCCAAGGGGACCCCAGAGAAACTGTGGAAGCTGAGTTACCATTAGGCTGTTTTTTCTAAAGGCTGAACATAAGTCAGACCTTTAAAAAGACTCCACCACTAATTTCAATCAACCCAACTGCCTGACTGCTGCCCATCCCTGTTGCAGTTTTGATACAACAACTGGCCAGCATTCTTTTCTTCTAAGAGACTAGCAAACATGGAACGATTCTGGCCAGTCTATGGAGAATGAGGAGTGAGAGTTTCCATGTCCTCTGCTTCACCTTTTGATGGCAGAGGCCCAAAAGCTCCAACCCCAGATTATACTAAGCCCACCATTTTTTAAACATGGGACCCATGAAGGGGTATGGTGGTTTTGATTTGCATTTCCATTATACATCTTTTCATATACCTGTTGGTCATTTGATTGTTATCTTCGAGGACATATCCATTCACTTCCTGAGTCCATTTTTTAATTGTGTTGTTTTTTTGCTATTGAGTTATACTAGTTATTTACTAATTTTAGATATTAATCCCCTAGCAGATAATGGCTTGCCAATATTTTCTTGCATTTGTTAGGTTGTCTCTTTACTCTATTGATTGTTTTCTTTGCTGTGCAGAAACTTTTTAGTTTGACATAGAATTGAAATCATAATATCTATCAAAGAGACATCAGCACTTCCATGCTCATTGTAGCAGTATTCACAAAATCTAAGATACAGAAACAACCTAAATGTCCATCAACAGATGAATAGGTAAAGTAAGTGTCAAATATACATACAGTAAAATACTATTCAGCCAAGAAATTCTCTTATAGGTGACAATATGAATGGGTTTGGAAAACATTACACTAAATGAAATAAGTCAGTTACAGAAAAATATATACTGTATGGTGCCACTTATATGAGATATTTAAAAGAGTCAAACTCACAGAAACAAAAAGTAGAATAATAGTTAATGGGGTGTGAGGAGGGAAAAGTGGAGAATTGCTATTCAAAGTCTATAAAGTTTCAATTATGCAATATGAATAAAGTTCTAGAAATCTACCATACAAATGTATGCCTATAGCTAACAATACAGTAGATGCTTCATATTTATGGGTACTGCATCTGTGGATTCAACCAAGCAAAGATCAAAAATATTCAAAAACAATAAAATAATATGCATTAAAAATGTAGTATAACAACTGTTTGCATGCCATTTACATTGTATAAGGTGTTACAAGTAATCTAGAAGGATTATTTAAAGTATACAAAAGGATATGAATAGGTTATATGCAAATATCATATCATTTTATATAAGAAACTTGAGCATCCACAATTCTGGCATTCACAGATGTGGACTGGGTAAGGGACCTGAAATCAATACCCCATAGACTGAAAAATGACTCTACTACACTGTGTACTTAAAATTGTGTTAAAAGGGTAGATTTTATGTTAAGTGTTCTTACCACAATTTTAAACAAAAGAAATAACAAAATAAAGAGTAAATTTTTAGTATTTTAAATAATAAAAGCTGCTATGGAAAAAATAAAAGCAAGGTAAGCATAATAAGAAATATTTAGTTACATAAATAAAGATAATTGAGGAAAACTTCATTGACAAAGTAATATTTGAGTAAAGACTTGAAGGCAGGGAGGGAGCTCTTTAGGTAAATATCTTATATTTGGGGGAATAATATTTCAGGCAGAGGAAACTGCAAGTGTTAAGTGCCTGATGTGGAAGCATACACTGTGTTTTCATTGAACAACAACAAAATCAGTGTGAAGAGCAAATTAGTAAGAGTGGTAACAGTAGTCAGATCACAGAGAGGTTTGCACACCTTTTTAAATATTTGGTGTTTACTCAAAATGACATGGGAAGACATTTAAATGTCTTAAGTACAGAAGTAATATAATCTGTCCTATGTCTTAAAATGAAAATGCTGGAGGCTGTGTGGAAAATAAAGAGTAGTAGAGATAAGGAGAGGAGTAGGGGGACCAGATAACTGACTCCTACTTTCTTCCAGGCAAAAAAAATATGGTGCCTTGAATCAGAATAGTAGCAGTAAAAGTGGAGATAAGTGTTGAAATTGGGATGCATTCAAAGGCAGAACTTAAGGAACGTGCAGATGGATTGAATGTAGAGTTTCAGAGAAATGACAACCAGGATTACCCCCAACGTTTTTGGCCTGGGAAATTGAAAGAAGGACATTTTTATTCACTAAGATTCAAAAGACTTTAAAAGGAGCAAGCTTAGGTGGAAACCAGAGTTGACTTTTATTTAGTAAAAAGTCAAATAAAGTCAACTTAGTTGATGTTTACATGTGCTGATGTTGAAATGGCTAGGAGACAGCCAAGTAAAGACATTGAATATATAGTTTCATAAATAATTTTGAGTTCAGGAGAGAGGAACACACTGAGCATTTAAATATGGTATGGTATGGTATTCAATTCCATGGGACTAGATGAGGTCACCTTATAGATGAGGTGACCAAGAAGAGTAGCTTTCACTTTTGATCATAAATTATAATTTAAAAGTACATTTTATATTGTGACCCAGCACATATGAAAAATACTTGTTTTTATTAAGTACAATGAAATCTAATATTTCCTGTTCTATTCCCCCACCCCTTATCAACCTAGTTCTGTCCTATAATATTTATTTTATGACTCATTAATAGATGTCTACCTAGAGTATGAAAAAAAATGCCACCTACGGAATTCTTGTCAGTACAAAAAAGGACTGTATGGAGATTGTGTCTTGCAGCATACTTATTTTTAAAGGTAAGGTTGATGCGGTACAACCAGGCAGAAAGAGCTTTAGTAAGAAAAAGGAGCCTCTAATGAAGTAAGAGAAGAATGGCATCTAGAAGCCAAAAATGAAATTTTCTTAAGAAAGAGAAAGCTATGAACTATGTCCATTGTTATTAATAGGTTGAGTAAGGTGGGTAATGGGAATCGATCACTGGATATAGCAGCACAGAAACAATGGGTTTCCTTAATTAGAGCAGTTTCATTGTAATGCTGATTACAATAGCCTTATTTGCCTGGGCATAAGACAGAATAGTAGGAGAGAAAGTGGAGACAAAGAGTGAAGATTCTTTTAGGGAAATTTTATGTAAAGAAGATCAGTGAAATGAAGCAGAAACTGAAAAAAAATAGATGGGGAGTCAAGGGAAGTGATCTTTTTGGCATGTTGTGTGTTTTTAACATGGAAGACACACACCTATAAAAGTCTTTGAATAGGCAAAAAGACAGGCACTTTTGTACAGAATTGATGTATAGTAGTAGGTGGCAAATGAAATTACATGGACCCCAATAAAATAAGTGAGAAAGGATGAAAGCATGAAAGGTATTTTACATTGCTTCTACATTCACAGTAAGTAGAAAAGCATTTTCATGAGCTGAAAATAGAAGGAGAAAAGATGTTGAAGTTTGGAGCAGAGAGAAGAAACTGTGAAATAGTTATCTAGATTCTAGAACAATGGGCGAGGTAAATGGAGTAGTATTGCTAGACAGCATTAAGGTGCTCCCTTATGGTTAGTGGTTATGTCCATATTCATAATATAACTGTTCATCAAGTTTTCTGTTTCCTTTCTCTTATTCTCTCATTCTCCACTTCTTCTTGTTATATATTCATATATTCTTGCTACTTCCAAGTGTAATCTTAAAGCATAATTCTATCATGCCATTATCTTATTCATTTTTTTTTTAATTTTCTGGCATGGATTACAGAATAAACTATAAAAAGATTATTGTCACCTCTTAGTTTTCAAGGTTGATCTTTTACTTTTTTGACTATATTCACAATGCTAGTTCAAACAGGATTACTTACTGTTCATAAAAATGCCATTCATTGGCTGGGCATGGTGGCTCATGCCTGTAATCCCAGCACTTTGGGAGGCCGAGGCGGTCAGATCATGAGGTCAAGAGATTGAGACCATCCTGGCTAACATGGTAAAACCCCATCTCTACTAAAAATACAAAATTAGTCAGGTGTGGTGGCGTGTGCCTGTAGTCCCAGCTACTCGGGAGGCTGAGGCAGGAGAATCGCTTGAACCAGGGAGGTGGATGTTGCAGTGAGCCGAGATCACGCCACTGCAGTCCAGCCTGGTGACACAGCGAGACTCTGTCTCAGAAAAAATAAAAATAAAATAATAGCCAGTCATTATTACCTCCTTTGCTTACGGTGTCTTCTTATTGCTGGACATTTGACTTCTTAATATTAACTATGTCCATTATCACCTCATATATATTGTGCCTCATCCAATTAAAAATTGTATTTTCTTTTTATCCTAGCAGCCTCTGGAGAATAAAAATCAGCATGGATATTGAAACAAATGAACATAACCTCACAACATCTTGCTTTATGTCTGCAACGCCCATCTGTTGCGATTATACATGGGATTTCCTTATTAATGCTGAATATATGATATACAAGTACTGCTTACAACCCAGAGATTCAGGGGAAAGAACACTCCATAGGGTAAATTATTGATCAGTAGGAGACTGCAAGATAAATTTTTCTGCTTTCATATTTAGACAGATTGCTTTACTATGTAATAGTTTATTCAGCCCCCTTCGAAGACAGTCCTGGGTGATTGATTGATTTGTGTCACTCAGCTCAATAGCACACACTTATATTAGTGCTTTCTTCTTTCCTGATTCCCTTTCTACCTTTTCACTCCTGCTTCCCTGGTACTTTACTACCAAAATAGTGACACCTATGTTTTTGCCTCACGTTCTGTTTCCTGAAAAACTCAGGATAATACAATACCATTATTTGATCTTTACAACAACCCTGTGAAGAAAGATATATCATTATCTCCATACAATGCATAATCAAACTGAAGCACAGAATATGTCACCGATTTTCCTAAATTATTTGAGGTATTCAGATATTAGAACTGAGTCTCCTGATTACAGCTGCACTGCTATTTTTACAATTTCTACTATACATCTTTAAGGCCCACTTTTAGTGCTCTGGATTCCTCAGTAAGTAGTGATCGCTTCTCTCCGTAGGTAAAAAATAATTAACTTTTATTTTGTTAAACATGTTTTGAAGTATCAATTTATTTGTTGATGAGGCTACTACTTCCACTGTATTGTTAACTGAGAGAAATATCTTTATTGCCTATAAAGATCAGCACAGTAGACACTAAATGATTGTCTCAAAATAGAGAATATGTTAGTGTTGAGGAAGTGAAATCAATAAATGAATGAATAAATGGATTAAATGTCCCAATCTTTTCAACCCTTGACATATACACATTTAGAATTCGTATTTTCTTATATTATTTTCAGAACAAGTAAACTAAAAATGTTTTATCTCAATAATATGAATATTATTAATATTCTCATTATGTCTCAATAATATGAACAGTATTAATATTCTCAATATATCTCAATAATATAATATTATAAATATTAATGTAACAACATTAATATTAGTAATTTAGAAATCCATTCAAACTGGGATTTTTATTTACTTAGAAGTCCGTAAATGCTTTTAAAAATATCTAAGGTCTTAGATTCATTTCTTGGAGATTTGTCCTAAGCAATTTATAAAAGGAAGTTTTATCTACAAACATCTTTACTGTCACAAGATTTATAACAATGAAAATTATAGAAATAGAACAAATATAAAACAATACGTGAAGTGAACTAAATATTAATAAAACCAGTCAATTTAATATCATGAAACCAATAAAAATTATATTTGTATAAGTTAAAAACTACAGAAATATAAGGCATATTAAATTTTTATACTTTGGAATCACAAGTATGTAGAACAAAAGTACAAACAGGAGAGACAGAGAAAGATGGCTGTATAGAAGATTTCATTGATCACCACCCCCTTGCAGAACCACCAAATTTAAAAACCATCTACACACAAAAAGCACATTAATAAAAACTAAAAATCAGGTGAGCATTCACAGTACCTGGTTTTAATATTATATCACTGAGATAGACACTAAAAATGGTAGAAAACATAGACTGGAATCACTGATGCCACCGTTCCCCCTTTGCTCAGCAGCAACCATGGTGTGAAGAGAAAAGCTATGCACATGGGAGAGAGAGAGTGCAGTGATTGTGAGAATTTCCATTGAACTCAGTGCTTACAGTGGAAAGCAAAACCAGAAGAAACTAAACTGATTGGGTTGGTTAAGTTGCCAACCGATGGAGAAAACATTTAAACCAATCCTAGGGAGAGGGAAATTGTGCATGCTGGTGGTCAGAATTTGAGTATGAATAAGTCATACTACAATGGTCTAAAGTGCTCTGGGGTTCTAAGTAAACTTGAAAGGCAGCATAGACCAAAAGGAATGAAACTCCTAAGTAAGTCCTGGTGCTGATCTGTGTTCAGAGCCAGTGGACTAAACAAGCATGCAACTGACTCAGACATCAGCCAGGATGGCTAAGAGAATGTTTGCACCACTGCTCTACCAAACGCAGGCGGCATAGCTCCTGAGTCCAAAAGACACCTCTTTCTCTCTCTTGAAAGGAGAGAGAAGAATAAATAGGACTTTGTCTTTGTCTTGAATCTTGGCTACCAGCTTAGTCACAGTAGGATAGGGCATGGGTCAGAGTCATGAGGCCCCCGTTCCAGGTCCTAGCTCCTGGAGGACATATTTAGACACACCATGGACAAGAAGGAAACCAACTACATTGAAGGGAAAGACACAGTCCTGGCAAGACCCATAACCTGCTGATTAAAGAGCCCTTGGGCCCTGAATAACCAGCAGCAATACCCAGGTAGTACACCAAAGGCCTTGGGTGAGACTTTAAGATTTGCTGGCTTTAGGTTACGCTAAGCAAATTCCCAGCTGTAGTGACTGTGGGGCAAGAATCCTTCTTGAGAAAAGCAGTGGGAAAAGTAAAGGGGACTTTGTTTTGCAACTTAGGTACCAGGTCAGCCACAGGGTTATACAGCACCAAGCAGGCTCTTAGGGTCCAGAATTCAAGGTCTTGGCTCTTGTATGGCACTTATGAATCTTCCTTCAGAAAGAGGGTAGCCCACTGCCTAAAAGTGTGAATCCCAGGCCTGGCAGCATTTACCACAAGCCGAATGAAGAGCACTGGAGCCTTAAGTGAACATTGGCAATGGCCTGGCAATACTCTCTGTGGGCCTGTGGTGGTGGATGGCCACAAGGGGAGGCTTGTCTGCCTGTGGAAAGAGTCTGCCTGAGGGAAGAGTGAGAAAAACTGTGTCTTTTTGTTTGAGTGCTAGTTCAGCCACAGTACAATAGAACTATGTCTATTGTTTGAGGTTTTTGTAAATGTCTGAGGTTTTTGACTCCCTGGCTCCTAGATGGTACCTCTGGACCTGCCCAAGCCTGGGGAACTTATCAACAAGAAGGGAAAAACACAGGCCCGGCTGGCTTTACCATCTGATTGTAGAGACCTAGTGTGTTTACAAACATAGGCAGTAGACAGGGAGTGGTTATAGCAGATGTTGGGAAAAACCCAGTGATATTCTGGCTTCAGGTCAGACCCAGCACAGTCCCTTTGGTGGTGCCCACAGGGTTGCTTGTGTCATCCCATTCACAGCTCCAAGTGGCACAACACACACACACAGAGACTTTGTTAGTCATGTTGACCATTTTTTCTTGTACTTAATGGTCATTTGTATATCTTCTTTGGAGAAATGACTATTCAACTTTTTTACCCATTTATTACTCAAGTTGTTTTGTATTTTCTTGTTACTGAGTTATAGTTCTTTGTATATTCTGGATATTAACTCTTTATCAAATATATGATTTGAAAATATTTTTCCCATTATGTAGGTTGCATTTTTACTTTCTGGTAGTATTTTTAGTGCAAAAATATTTTTAACTTTAATAAACTTCAATTTATCTATTTTTTCTTCTTTCGCCTGTGCTTTTGGTATCATATTTCAGAAATTATTGCCAAATCCAATGTTACAAAGATTTTCCCTTATGTCTTTCCCTGAGAGTCTTATGCCCTTAGCTCTTACATTTAGGCATTTGATCAATTTTGAGTTAATTTTTGTATATGGTATAAGGTAAGTATCAGACATGATCCTTTTTCATGTAGATATCCAGCTTTCCCATCACCATTTGTTTTCTCAATTCAATGACTTTGTCTAAAATCATTTGCCTATATAGGCAAAAGTTTATTTCTGGGCTTTCTATTTTATCCTATTGGTTTATTCTACAAACGGAATGTTTCTTTTCCCCTCAAATTTATATACTGAAATTCTAACTCCCAATGTAATGAAATTAGTTGGTGGGGCATTTAGAAAGTAATTATATCACGAAGCTCGAGCCCTCATGAATGGTATTGGGGCATTAGAAGAAAAGGTTATAAGAAAAAAAGTGAGAAGACCGACTTGCTCTTCACCCCCCATTTCTCCTTTCTCTCTCTCTCTCTGCCACGTGAGGATACAAAAACTGCCTGTCTGCAAATTAAGAAGTGTGTCCTCCTAAGACACCAGTTTTGCTGGCACCTTGATATTGGGCTTCACAACCTTCAGACATATAACTAATAAATTTCAGTCATTTAAGCGACCCAGTCTATAGTATTTTGTTATAGCAGTCCAACAGACTAAGACAGAAATTGGTTCCAAGAAATGAGCTGCTGCTGTATTAAACACCTAAAAATGCCTTTGGAACTGGGTAATGTATAGAGGCTGGAAGAGTTTTGAAGTACATGCTAAAAACACCCAAGTCTCCAAAGAGACTTTTAAAGGTGATTATAATAAGGGATAAGAAAGAGGAGAGCTGTAGATAAAGCATTTCTCTTCTTAGAGAATACATAAATAATAATATACAGGATGTTTGTGGAACTGTGGATGGTAAAAGCCATCCTAATGAGGTTCACATGAAAAGGAGGAATGCATCATTGGACAATGGAGGAAAAGCAATGCTTGTTATAAAGTAGCAAAGAACTTGGCTAAATTGTGTTTGAGTTCCAGTGTTTTTTGAAAGGTAAAACTGATGAGCAATGAAGTTCAATATTTACCGAGGAGACTTCTAAGTGAAGTGTTGAATGAGCAGTCTGTTTTTCCTGACTGATTATAGTAATATGTGAGAAGAGAGAAATAAATTAGATAGAAAATTATTTTTTATATTTAAATTTGTTTTCTTTTTAATTTTAAGTTCCCAGGTACACGTGCAGGATGTGCAGGTTTGTTACATACGTAAACGTGCCATGGTGATTTGCTGCACTTATGAACCCATCATCTTGTTAAGCCTGGCATGAATTAGCTATTTTTTCTGATGCTCTTCCCCCTACCTTCCCTCAACTGGCCTCAGTTTGTGTTGTTCCCCTCCCTGTGTCCATGTGTTCTCATTGTTCAGCTCCCACTTATAAGTGAGAACATGCAGTGTTTAGTTTTCTGTTCCTGCATTAGCTTACTGAGGATAAGGGCTTCCAGTTCCATCCATGTCCCTGAAAAGGACATGATCTCATTCCTTCTTGTGGCTGCATAGTATTCCATTGTGTATATGTACCATATTTTCTTTATCCATTTTATCATTGATGGACATTTGGGTTGATTCCATGTCTTTGCTATTGTGAATATGCTGCAATGAACGTACATGTGCATGTACCTTTATAACAGAATAATTTACATTCCTTTGGGTATATACCCAGTAATGGGGTTACTGGGTCAAATGGTATTTTTGATTCTAAATCTTTGAGGAATTGCCACACCATCTTCCACAGTGGTTGCACTAATTTACATTCCCACTAACAGTGTAAGAGCATTCCTATTTCCCTGCAACCTCGCCAGCATCTGTTGCTTCCTGACTGTTTAATAATCGTGATTCTGACTAGCATGAAATGATATTTCATTGTGGTTTTAATTTGCATTTTTCTAATGATCAGTGGAGCTTTTTTTCATGTATTTGTTGGTCACATAAATGTCTTCCTTTGAGAAGTGTCCGTTCATGTCTTTTGCCCACTTTTTAGTGGAGTTTTTTTTTTTTTTTGTAAATTTGCTAAAGTTTCCTGTAGATTCTGGATATTATACCTTTGTCAGATAGATAGGCTGCAAAAATTTTCTTCCATTCTGTAGGTTGTCTGTTCTCTCTGATGATAGTTTCTTTTGCTGCACAGAAGATCTTTAGTTTAATTAGATCCCATTTGTCAATTTGTGCTTTTGTTGCAATTGCTTTTGTTAATTTCTTCATAAAATCTTTGCCTGTGCCTATATCCTGAATGATATTGCCTATATTTCCTTCCAGGGTTTTATAATTTTGGGTATTACATTTAAGTCTTTAATCTACCTTGATTTAGTATTTCTATAAGTTGTGAGGAAGGGGTCCAGTTTCAATTTTCTGCATATGGCTAGCCTGTTTTCTTAGCACTATTTATCTATTTATTAAATAGGGAATCTCTTCCCCATTGCTGGTTTTTGTCAGCTATTTTGAAGCTCATATGGTTGTAGATGTGTGGTTTTATTTCTGAGTTCTCTATTCTGTTCCATTGGTCTATATACTTGTTTTTGTACCAGTACCATGCTGTTTTGGTTACTGTAGCCTTGTAGTATAGTTTGAAGTCAGGTAGTGTGATACCTCCAGCTTTATTCTTTTTGCCTAGGATTGTTGTGGCTATATGGGCTCCTTTTTTTTTTTTTTTTTTTTTTTTGGTTCCATATGAATTTTAAGATAGTTTTTTCTAAGATTTTGAAGAATTTCAATGGTAGTTTAATGGAAATAGCATTGAATATATAAATTGCTTTGGGCAGTATGGCCATTTTCACAATACCGATTCTTCCTATCTATGAACATGGAATGTTTTTTCACCTTTTTGTTTCCTCTCTGATTTCTTGAGCAGTGGTTTGTAGTTCTTCTTGAAGAGTTCCTTCACTTCCCTTGTTAGCTATATTCCTAGATATTTTATTTTCTTTGTGGTAATTGTAAATGAAAGTTTATTCTCAATTTGTCTGCTTGTCTGTTGTTAGTGTATAGAAATGTTTGTGATTCCTGAACATTGATTTTGTATCCTGAGACTTTGCTGAATTTGCTTATCAGCTCTTGAAGAATGACAGTGGATTATTATAAGCTTAACCAAGTGGTAACTCAGATTGCAGCTGCTGTACCAGACGTGGTTTCATTGCTTGAGCAAATTAACACATCTCCTGATATCTGGTATGCAGCCATTGACTTGGCAAATGCCTATTTCTCTATTCTTGCCCATAAGGCCCACCAGAAACAATTTGCCTTCAGCTAACAAGGCCAGCAATGTACATTTACTGTCTTACCTCAGGGTTATAACGACTCTCCAGATTTGTGTCATAATCTTATTCGGAGAAATCTTGATCACTTTTTGCTTCCACAAGATTTCACACTGGCCCATTACATTGATGACATTATGCTGATTGGATCCAGTGAGCAAGAAGTAGCAAACACACTGGCTTATTGGTGAGGTATTTGCATTGCCAGAGAATGGGAAACAAATCCAACTAAAATTCAGGGGAACTTCTACCTCAGTAAAATTTCTGGGGGTTTAGTGATGTGGGGCTTGCTGAGATATTTCTTCTAAGGTGAAGAATAAGTTGCCGCATTTGGCCCCTCCTGGAACCAAGAAAGGGGCACTATCTAATCAGGTGCCAGTGCAACTAGAATATAAGCAGGCAGGAAAATGTGAAAAGAGAGACTGGCTTAGCCTCCCAGCCTACATCTTTCTCCAGTGCTGGATGCTTCCTGCCCTCAAACATTGGACTCTAATTTTTTCAGTTTTGGAACTCGGACTGGCTCATCTTGCTCCTCAGCCTGCAGATGGTCTGTTGTGGGACCTTGTGATAATGTAAGATAGATAGATAGATAGATAGATAGATAGATAGATAGATAGATAGATAGATAGATAGATATTCCATTAGTTCTGTCCCTCTAGAGAACCCTAATACATCAGTTTAAGAAGTTTTGGGCTGAGTTGATGGGGTTTTCTAGGTATAGAATCATTTCATCTACAAAAAAGACAATTTGAATTTTAAGTATAAAAGAACCAGTGACTGAACACAGTGGCTCATGTTTGTAATCTCAGCATTTTGGGAAGCCAAGGCAGTAGGATTGCTTGAGGCCAAGAGTTCAAAATTAGCATAAACAACATAATGAGACCCCATCTTTACAATAAAAAATATATTAAAAATAGCTGGGCATGGTGGCACATGCTTGTAGTCCCAGCTACTTGGAAGGCTGAGGCAGGTGAACTGCTTGAGCCTAGGAATTCAAGGCTGCAATAAAGTTTGATTGTGCCACTGCACTTCTGCCTGGGCAACAGAGAGAGATTCCATCTCTAAAAAAATAAGAATAAAAAATAAATGAATAAGCCAAAACCTGAAAAAGTATAACTTTTTCAATCTGTTTATATTGCACAAAGTGAGAAAGCATGTTTTAAAATATGTTATAGAGCATTGAGGGTGTGACAAAGCAAACATTTGATAAGGAGATTGAGATAGATGGATGTGAACCATGGAATTAATCAACCACCCCAGCAGGAAAACTGCCAGTTTGAAGCACAGACTCAATCAGTCAACTAAAAATACCCAGGAATAGATATCTGATTATACCAGCAGAATCACCGCCAGCTGGAAATAAAAAATTAAAAAAAGAGAAAATGTGATAAAATTAAAAAGGCTGAAACTGTGTGCTAACTTTCAAGAAAAAGAGGACCTTAAAGGTAATTCAATGATCTGTAAGGCAGACAGTGCCCAACGAAGCTAAGGGAGCAGGGACATTCCATGCCATAGGGATAGTGCCATCCAGTAGAGCCTGTGGAGGCAATTTCTGCATGGCAGAGTGTCAGCATAGGCAGAGCCCTGGCAGAAAGCCCCATCATGGCCATAGGTCAGGCACTGCAGACAGCCATGACATAGGCATTGCCCCGCTGAGCCGTGAGGGTGACACTGCTACCTAGTGGGTCCAGAAGGCAGAGCACTGGGACAAAAAAAAATTTTTTTCTCCACCCTTAAGATTTTACAAAGTTTGCCTAGTTAGGTTTTGAATGTGCTTGGAACTATAATCTTTTTTCTTCTTTCCTGTTTTTCCTTTTTAGAATGAGAATGTCTATTCCATGCCTCTCCCACCATTGATTTAGAAGCATATAACTTCTTTAGTTTGACAGACTTACAGCTAGAGAGGAATTTTGTCTAAGGATGAAAGTCTTACTCACATCTGATTTAGATGATATGATATTTACATGAAGTTAAGAACTTTAGATTTTAGAATTGATTCTGGAATGAGTTAAGAGTTTTAGAAATGTTAGAATGAAAGGAATTAATTTGGCCTGTGATAAAAACAAGCATTTGGTGGGGGGCAGGGGTAGAATGCCGTGGACTAAATGTTGTTTTTCTCACAAAATTTATGTTAAAACCCTTAGCCCCATTGTGAATAGAAGAAGAGCCTTTGGGAGTTAACTAGGTTGTGAAACTGAAGCTCTTATGGGTGGGAATAGTCCCTTTAAAAGAAGAGGCATGAGAGAGTTTTCTCTCCCTCTCTCTCAGCCATCATTTTGATCAGGATTGTGTTGAATTTGTACATCAGCTTTGGATACTCTACACATATTAACAATATTGTTTTCGAATTTATGAAAACAGGATTTCTTTCCATTTATTAATATATTATTTAATTTCTTTCATCAATTTTTTTCATTTATACTATAAAAATGTTTTGCCTCCTTGACTAAGTTATTTCTAAGTATTTATTCCCTTTGATGTTATTGTAAATAAAATTGTTTTTTAATTTTTATTTCAAATTTTTCAATGTTAGTATATAGAAAGACAATTAATTTTTTGTTGATTTTGTATCCTGCAGCTTTTCTAAATTTATTATTTAAAAAAAATTGTGTGTGTGTGTGTGTGTGTGTAGTCTTTTCCAATCACAATGCAATGAATAGAAGTCAACAACTGATTGTAATTGGAAAACGTATGTTGTATGACTTAAATGTTTTTAAATTTATTGAGACTATTTTGGGGGGCCTAAATATATGGCCTCTCCTTGAAAACAATCAATGTGTATGTGAAAAAAAATGTACTTTGCTGTTGTTGAGTGCAGTGCTCTCTATATGTCTATTAGGTCTAAATGTTCAAGGTATTTTTTAAGTACCCTTTTACTTTATTGATTTTCTGCCTGGTTTTGCTGTCTATTTTTGGAAGTAGGGTACTAAAGTCTCCTCATATTATTGTAGAGTTGCCTATTTTTCTCTTCAATTTTGTTAAGAATTGCTTCTTATATTTTGGAGCTCTGATGTATAGCACATATATGTTTATAATTGTTATATCTTCCTTGTGAATTGGTTTTTATATCATTAAATAATATTACCTTTTTCCCTCTTGTAGTAGTATTTTTTTTTAATTTAAAGTTATTTTGGCTGAAATTGGTATAGCCACCCCTCCTCTCTTCTTGTTCCTTTGTATTTTCCATCTTGTTTTTCAACACTTGTATTTCTTTAGATCTAAACTGTCTCTAGTATACAGCAAGTAGTTTGATCTTATTTTTATCCATTCTGTATTCAGATTGAAGACTATATTTTATATGCCTTTAGGATAATTATTGACAGGGGAGCACTATCAATACTTTCCATTTTGTAATTTGATTTGTGTGTGTGTGTTATAGATATTTGTCTTTATTCCTGTATTACTGACCTCCCTTGTGTATAGTTTATTTTATGTGAATACATTTTGAATACCTTCTTATTTCCTTTTGTGTATATTTTCTAGCTATTTTCTCTTTGGTTACCCAAAAAACATGGTTCTTTGGTTACCATGTGAGTAATATATAAAACATCATAAGGCTATAAAAATCCATCCTAAATTGATACCATCTTAACTTCAATTGCATATAAAACTTCATTGCAGTTTACCACCTTTCCCAGTTTATGTTACTAATGTCATAAATTATAATTGACACTTGAACAATATAAGAGATAAGAATGCCAAGTCCCTACAAGTTGAAAATCTGCATATAACTTTCTATTCCCCCAAACTTCACTACTAATTGCCTACTGTTGGACAGAAACCTTACTGATAACATAGTAGTTTAACACATGTTCTGTATTTTATATGTATTATGTTCTGTAAGTAAGCTAGAGAATGTATTTTATTAAGAATATCATAAGGAAGAGAAAATATACTTACTATTCATTAAGTAGGTTTAAATCATCACAAAGGTCTTCATCCTCATCACTTCATGTTCAGTCCTGAACATGTTGCTGTCTCAGCAGTGGCAGAGGCAGAAGAAAATACATGTATAAGTGGACTCACAATTTAAACACATGTTGTCCAAGGCTAAACTGTATATCTTTATATGTTATGTAACCATTACCATTATCATATAAAGATTTTAGATTTATAATCTTTATTCATTTATAATTTAAATCCTACAGATAATATGTGGTGATACAAGTAAAAATTAAAATAATAATAATATTTATATTTGTTATATGTTCATCTATTTACCTATTTTATTACTCTGTTTTGTACTGACATAACAGAGTACCTAATACTGGGTAATTTATAATGAACAAAGATTTATTTGTTATAGTTCTGGAGATTGGAAAGTTTAAGATTGAGGGGCTTGCATTTGTCAAGGACCTTCTTTCTGCATCACCCCATGGGAGAAAGCAGGCAGGAAACAGAGCACATCTTCTAGACAAAGCAATAGAGTGCAAAACTCATTTTTAAAAGATACACACAGCTGGGTGCAGTGGCTCAGGCCTGTAATCCCAGCACTTTGGGAGGCCGAGGCGGGTGGATCATGAGGTCAGGAGATCAAGACCATTCTGGCTAACACGGTGAAACTCCGTCTCTACTAAAAAATACCAAAAAAAGGCCAGGCGCGGTGGCTCACGCCTATAATCCCAGCACTTTGGGAGGCCGAGGCAGGTGGATCACGAGGTCAGGAGATTGAGACCATCCTGGCTAACATGGTGAAACCCCGTCTCTACTAAAAATTACAAAAAATTAGCCAGGCGTGGTGGCGGGTACCTGTAGTCCCAGCTGCTTGGGAGGCTGAGGCAGGAGAACGGTGTGAACCCAGGAGGTGGAGCTTGCAGTGAGCTGAGATTGCACCACTGCACTCCAGCCTGGGCGACAGAGCGAGACTCCATCTCAAAAAAAAAAAAAAAAAAAAACCAAAAAAATTAGCCAGACATGGTGGCGGGCACCTGTAGTCCCAGCTACTTGGGAGGCTGAGGCAGGAGAATGGTGTGAACCCGGGAGGCGGAGCTTGCAGTGAACTGAGATTGCACCACTGCACTCCAGCCTGGGCGACAGAGCAAGACACCATCTCAAAAAAAAAAAAAAAAAAATACACACTTTTCCAATAAGTAACCCACCCCCATTATAGTGATATTAATCTATTCATGAGGACAGAGTCCTCATAACCTAGTCTCCTCTTAAAGGTTCCAATTCTCAAAATTCTTGCATTAAAGGTTACGTTTCTAACACATGAATTTTTGGGGACACAGTCAAACCATATCACCTTCTCTGGAGATGTTTATATTTTTTCTTATGGCTTTGAGTGATTGTCTAGGATTCTACTTGAAGGACTCCATTTAATATTTCTTGCAGGGAAGGTCCAGGGGTGGTAAGCTACTTCAGCTTTTGTTTGTATGAAAATGTCCTGACTACTCATCTATTTTAGAAATATAGTTTTGCCAGGTATAGAATTCCTGATTGGCAGTTCTTTTCTTCAGTCTCTTTAAATGTATCATGCTATTATTTCTGTTCTCCAAGATGTCTGATAAGAAATTCACTAGGATAGTCATATTGAGAGCTCTTGCATATGATCGGTCCATTTTACCTTGCTGTTTTCAATGTCCTTTTCCTATCTTTCCATTTCAGCAGTTAGATTTTAATGTGTCTTAGGGTCTACGATTTTGTCCTACTTGGAATTCATTGAGCTTCTTGTAATTGTATATTTATATCTTTTTTCAAATTTGGGAAGTTTTCCATATTTATTTATTCAAATAATTTTTCTGTTTTTTTTTTTTCTTTCTCTTCACCTCCTGCAAGTTCCTGATGTAGTTTGCATGCTCATCACCTCTAAATCCCATGTTGAAATGTGATCCCTAATGTAGGAGATAGGGCATAGTGGGGAAGGTTTGGGTCATGGAGGTAAGTTTCTCATGAATGGTTTGGTGCCCTACTCACAGTAATGAGTGAATTCTCACTCTATTATGTCATGTGAAAGCTGGTTGCTGAAATAGCCTGGTACTTCCTCCCTTCCTCTCTCACCATGTGACATGCTAGCTCTCCTTACACCTCCTGCCATGAGAGTAAGCTTCCTGAAGCCCTCACCAGAAGCAAATGCCAGCACTATGCTTCTTGTATAGTCTGCAGAATAGTCAGCCAAAATAAACCTTTTTTCTTTATAAATAACCCAGCATTAGATATTAATTTACAGCAATGTAAAATAGACTGACATACTAACACAAGATATATTTTGATCTGCTTGGTGATGTTTTACCTCTCTCTTCCCTCCTATTCACTTTTCTTTACTTTTTTTTTACTTTTCATACTCAATAATTTCTAAAGACTATCGTTCAAGTTTTATGATTGTTTCTTTTCCCTGTTTGAGTTTGCTGCTTAAACCCCCTAGTGAATTTTATAATTGAGTTCGTGCCTTTTGCAGCTCCAGAGATAGTTAGGTTTTTTTAAATAATTTCTATCACATTGTGAATATTTTTCATACATAGTTTCTAATTTCTTTTTATGTTTAGTTTATGTTTCATTTTAACTATTTGAGTATATTAAGAAAGTGGTTTTAAAGTTTGGTTTTTTAATTCCAATTCATGTCTTCTTTTAGGGAAGCTGCCTTTTTTAGTTTATGTTGCTCCTTTAAATGGGTCATGTTTCCATCTTCTGCCTGTAATGTCTTGCCCTCAGGCGTATGAGGATTTGCAATTCCCCTGCAGGTTTCACGTGCCATGGAACTGGCCCTGCCTTTTGAAGCTTCTGTCGACTGAAGATAGAATTTATACTTATGTTCTTCATATGATCTTTGATGGAGTTCATATTCCCATAATATATCAGAGTAATGCAGAGAATAATCTTTTTTTTTTTTTTTTTTTTGAGACGGAGTCTCGCTCTGTCGCCCAGGCCGGACTGCGGACTGCAGTGGCGCAATCTCGGCTCACTGCAAGCTCCGCTTCCCGGGTTCACGCCATTCTCCCGCCTCAGCCTCCCCAGTAGCTGGGACTACAGGCGCCCGCCACCGCGCCCGGCTAATTTTTTGTATTTTTAGTAGAGACGGGGTTTCGCCTTGTTAGCCAGGATGGTCTCGATCTCCTGACCTCATGATCCACCCGCCTCGGCCTCCCAAAGTGCTGGGATTACAGGCGTGAGCCACCGCGCCCGGCCCGAGAATAATCTTTTAGGTAGCCCATAGATGAGTCAGAGTGTTGCAAACATGTTCTACTCTGCTACTTCTGCCTAACCAAAGGAACACATGATTTCCTCATTTTCTCCTGATTACACTACTATGCCAGGGACGAGATGAAGCAAGAGTGAATAAAAATACCACAGAATTTTCTAACATATTGAATGTGTCTCTTTCTTGGCTGTGCATCCAATTGGTGGCTATCATTCTTTAACTGGTTTCAGAATTTCTATAATATTTATTTAGTCAGTCTATAGCTGTTTTCTTAATGTTTTCATGGGGGAATGATGAACTGTGACTTCCTAGACTGTACCTTTTAGACATCACTCTCAAAGGCATATTTTAAGATCTAAAAAGTGCTTAGCATGACTCTCATCTTTTCAAATACATTGAATATATTAACTTAAGGCAAAAAATTAACATATTTAGAAAAGGTTAAAAAAGGAGAAAATATGAGAGCATGCTCAAGTAACTTACTACTATGCAGACATCTGGAATTTTAAAATAGTGATCCTCCCGCCTTGGTCTCCCAAAGTCCTGGGATTACAGGAGTGAGCCACCACACCAGGCCTAAATTTTTAATGTGGTTGTTTGGTTTTATGCTTGTTAATTTGCTTTACTTTCTTATAGATGCTAAATGTTAGGCCTTTGTCAGTTGCATAGTTTACAAAAATTTTCTCTCATTCTGTAGGTTGTCTGTTTACTCTGTTGATTATTTTGCTATGCAGAAGCTCTTTAATTAGGTCCCATTTGTCATTTTTTGTTGTTGTTGCAATTGCTTTTCATGTCCTTGTTATGAAATCTTTGCTGGGTCCTATGTCCAAAATGATATTTCCTAAGTTATCTTCCAGGGTTTTTTAATTTTTAGGTTTTACATTTAAATATGTAATCCATCTTCAGTTGATTTTTCTATATGGTGTAAGGAAGGAGGTCCTGTTTCAGTTTTCCACACATTGCTAGCTAGTTTATCCCAGCACGATTTATTGAATAGAAGTCCTTTTTCCATTGCTTAATTTTGGAAACTTTCTCAAAGATCAGATGGTTGTAGTTGTATAGCATTATTTGTGGGTTGTCTATTCTTTTATTGATCTATGTATCTGTTTTTATATCAGAAGTATGCTGTTTTGATTACTGTAGCCTTGCAATGTTGTTTGAAGTCAGGTAATGTGACACATCCAGCTTTGTTCTTTTTGCTTAGGATTGCTGTGTCTATTTGGGCTTTTTTTTGGTTCCACAGGAATTTTTTTAAGTTTTTTTTTTTTTTTAATTCTGTGAAGAATGCAATTTGTAGTTTGAAAAAAATACTATTGAATCTGTAAATTGCTTTGTGCAGTAAAGCCATTTTAACAATATTGATTCTGTCTTTCATGAACATGAAATGTCTTTCCATTCATTTGTGACATCTCTGATTTTTTGAGCAGTATTATGTAATTTTCATTGTGGGGATCTGTTACCTCTCTGATTAGCTGTATTCCTAGGTATTTTATTTTTCTCATTGTGAATGGGATTGCATTCTTCATTTGGCTCTCAGCTTGGATGTTGGTGGTATATAGAAATGCAACTGATTTTCATACATTGCCCTTGTATCATTTAACTTTGCTTACATTGTTTATCACATCAAGAAACTTTTGGGCAGAGGCTATGGGGTTTTCTAGGTATAGAATAATATAATCTAAAAAAAAGGATAGTTGGACTTCCTTTCTTTCTATTTTGATGCCTATTATTTCTTTCTCTTATCTAATTGCTCTGGCTAGGACTTCCAGTAAAAAGTTTGAGTGGTGAGAGAGAGCATTAATGTCTTGGCCTGCTTCTCAAGGGAATGTTTCCAGCTTTTGTCCCTTCAATGTGATGTTGGCCATGGATTTATCATAGATAAATTTTATTATTTTGAAGTATGTTCTTTTAATTATTTTGAAGTAAAGTTTCTAGTTTTTTGAAGATTTTTAACAAGGAAGGAGTTGAATTTTATCTAAAACCTTTTCTGAATCTATTGAGATGATCATGTAGTCTTTGTTTTTAGTTCTGCTTATGGGATGAATTAAATTTATTTATTTACATATGTTAAACCAACCTTGCATCTCAGGGGTAAAAACCAACTTGATTATGGTGGATAAACTTTTTGATGTGCTGTTTAGTTTGGTTTGCTAGTAATTTGATAAATATTTTTGCATCTATTTTTCTTCAAAGATATTAGCCTGAATTTGTGTGTTTGTGTGTGTGTGTGTGTGTGTATGTATGTCCCAGGTTTTGTCATCAGGATGGCCCTGGCCTCATAGAACGAGTTAGAGAGGAATTTCTCCTCCTCAAGTTATATGGAATATTTTCAACAGAAATGGTACCCCCTCTTCTTTGTACATCTAGAAGAATTTGTCTATGAATTTGTCTGCTCCTGGGCTTTTTCTCTTTGGTAGGCTTTTTATTACTGATTCAATTTTGGAACTCATTATTGATCTGCTCAAGAATTCAATTTACTTGTGGTTTAATCTAGGAAGGTTGTGTGTTTCCAGGAATTTATCCATTTTTTTCTAGGTTTTTTTAGCTTGTGTTCATAGAGATGAAAGGAAGAAATTAGAGAATGTGCCAACTTCTAAATCCATGGATTATTCATGCTCATAATGTAGAAGACATACAGTTAAACAATCTCTAGACAAGTAATTTTCAGATAGCATATGTTTTCCTGAAAATTCTCAGGCAAAAATGTAAAGACTACCAAGGAAGATGAGCTCTTTCAAATAGCCTTTCTAAAATTGTGAATAAAGTTCTAAAATTTAAACTCACAATAGGGTTTCCCCAACAGTTTGATTTTCTTCTTCTATGTGTATCTGTAAATAGAATTCTAGATAGATGCTTTAATGTGACCAAATCCATTTGACAGCTTTTCAAAATGTTATAAAGTGTGTGTGTGTGCATGCGCACATATTCATGTGTGCATATATGTATGAGAAGGGAATAAAGAAGAGTAGAGACAGAGAGAGGGATGACAATCCAGTACCATATCTGATTGTAATTGCCTATAATATACATTATCTTTATTTTGTAAGTCATTGAGATTTTTAACTATTCTAACACTATGAATACGCCCTTAGCCAAATTTTGTGTGCAGAGTATGGTAGTAGAAATTTATAGATATAAAGATGCTCCAATTTTATAGAGTGAAACATTAAAGATTATTTACTTAGTAGCAGAACTATTGGTAGAATACAGATTTGCTCCCTTTTAATCTTGACCTTTTCACCTACCAATGGATCATTTGTTGTTTTCTTTGTATCATGAAACATGTCTTTTAAAAATAGATATTGGTACAACCAGGAAGAACTGAGTTTAAGGCGTATTATATTGCTTGCACCCACAATGTTGAATTTCAAAAGATAATAATACCTGGTGGCATATAGTAGTATCTCAGTGGTTTTGTTTCTGTGATATTAAGCTTAGTTAGTTGAAGACCACTAAAATAATATAATCTCCATAATTTTAAATGATTGAACTCTTACAGAATAAATTAAGAGTGCTATTAGTATTATTCAAGAGATTTTAGTGCATGAGCAAGTGAAATCAATGAGTAGATGTACTAAGACAACAACGCCTGACTCTAAAAGACCAGCACTTCAACTTTTATTTTATTTTCTATACTGTTGTATAAGAGTGCCTTAGTATTTCTGACAAATGGAAATTATTGGTTAGAATTTCAATTCTAACTATATGATGAATGATCAAATCATATGAAAGTTGTTAGGTCAAAATATTATAACAGATAGGAGCAATTCCATGTCTAGTTCTAATCAAGTCTTTGGCAGATCTATCATTTTAGTTACCCTCAATAGAAAAAAATATAGAAATTGTTTTTTATGTAGCAGTTTTTGACAATTGGAAATTGGGGAACCAAGTTGATTTCACTATTCATAGTATATATGTCACATTTTTACTCCTGGCTGTTGGCAAAGCTTGTCAGTCCTAGCCCTATGATTTTACTGTATGCACATTTTAATACTTTTAAAATGTAGATGGTGATACTGGTTGTTGTGGTGATACTGCTGGTGATAGAATATTGTTGCTATTTTTCCTCATATGAGGAATATGTAATATAAAATGTTGAAGGGACTATTTTTTCTTTAGATATTTTAAATAACACACTATACTTTTTGTTCTGAAAATAGCTATCCTTTAATTTTGTTCTTAATTTATTAAAACTATTTTACAGTTTTACCTGGATACTAAATTTGGATAAGCTAATTTATAGAAAGAGTGTGTGTGATATCTAAATGCCAAGAACTACTTAAAATATATGATATGTTTGGTTGAGTGCCAAAATTGCAATGTGCCAATTTTCTATGAAATAATATGCATTCATGTGTGGGGTTGGGGGGATGATGCATTTAAGATGCCTCTTTTCTTCTAAGTACATTTATGTGAAAATTGTTGTTGGAGACAGCAATCTTAGTTTCCTGTCATCTTGAATGAGTAATAGTCTATTATTCAGATGTAAAGTGTAGAAAAGAGGTCATTCCACAACCCAAATATAGTTCGATGAGCTGCAGTATGATTGGTTGACACATCAAACATAAAAGCTTTTTATGCATTGATTTCTCTACATTCCTTGCAATAATTTATCTAATTTGTTTGATTGATTGACTCTTTGTATTGCAGTATGCATTTATTCAATAAAGTACCTACATCATAAAATCAATATATAGTTGCATTCCTGCACTAAGTACCATTTTAGAAAGTGTGATTGAATTTCCACAGAAATTAATCAATGTGATAGATGTATTTATCATTTGGATTAGACAGAAAATAAGAAAAAAGTCATGTGTGTCTTTTTTATTATAAAAATATATTTTTTATTTTCAAGCTCTTGTTAGCCCTTAAATTTTATAAATTTTATATAAGGTAGTTTTCAAAAGCACAGTATCTAGGTAATAAAAATTAATTATTAGTATTTTGAACCAAATAGGTCAAAAATTATACACAGTTTTTCAACTGAATAGGGAGTTGGTGCCCTTAACCTTTATGTTCTTCAAAGGCACATATACATACATATATGTACACACACACACACACACACACACACACACACACATAGATGGAGAGTGGGAGAGAGAAAGAGATAAATTTTCAGAAATTGACTCAGGCAATTATGGGGTCTGGCAAGTCTGAAATCTGAAAGGCCTGTCAGCAAGCTAGAAAAGGAGACAAGATTTTCAAATTAGTGTTGAGGCAGAATTTCTTCTTCTCCAGTACACCTCAGTTTTACCTCTTAATACCTCCAACTAATTGTGTGTTATTGAGAGTGGTATACTCTGCTTAAATTTAACTGATTACAAAAGTTAATTACATCTACAAAATATGGGTTGTGCAATTTGGCACCAAAGCCTGGCTAATAGGACATAAAAATTAATCATCAGCACATCATTTAAATAAAATAGATCATTGTTTTCCTTTTCCCTTTTTAAAAAGTCAGTTATTAGTTATGAGTACACTGTGTAAGAATAACATTAATTATATGGTTATAATAAATATATAAGAAAATAACTCATTGGAACAACTGACTGGTATTTGGCTAAGTTGTTACATTCTGGATTGCTTAATAACCAGCCTATAAATAGAAGCTATTAATTTTACATCACATAAAAGTAGATTTACCAAACTCTTTTTGGGGTCAAATGGATATATCAACACATTTTTTAATAATCTCTTTTAATCACTGATAATAACACTGGGATATAAGGTTTTTCATTTTTTTTTAACAAATTCCCTACCAAAACTATTTATAGCCTTATTTCTGTCATAATATAATTGAAATTTTACCCAGCAGTTTATATAGTTTTACATTTGATAGCTTTTTATATTTGAAACACATTAGAAATTAATGATAAATCTGCCACAAAATGTTATAGTTTTAATTTGTAAGTAAAGTAACATTTTAATTATCAAAATTAGCTGGATGATAATTGATTTAGCATTTTTATATTAAAAAGCCTCCTAAATTGTTGACTTTACACTTGATTATTAATAGAAATTTACATGTAAATTTTCAAATGTAGTTTTTGAAAAATATATGATAAAATACACTTTTTGGGAAATGAATTTCCAGATAACATTACTTCTTGGAATCCAAAAAAATTGTAACTTCTCCTTGCTCCCTTATGACCAGAGATTAATAATCCTTGTTGTTATGCCTATTTTTATCAGTTATGTTGGATAAAAATTTACATCTATAAACAATATCACACTGCCTACAGAGATTATGATCTTGATATTTTGGCTTATCTTTCATTGGTTCACACGTAATCTTTGAATTGGGTGATATCATATATTTTTATTATATATTACTGTAATAATCCTCCCTATTTTCCTTTCAATCTTGCAAAGCTTTTGTTGCTTTTTCCAAATGCTATTCATTTAGGCCAGTGTTTCTGAAAATTGTGCATGCATCTGAATCAGTTGGAAGTCTTGTTAAAACACAGATTGCTGCACTCCATTCACTCCATTCTAAAGCTTCTGATTTACTAAATGCAGGGTGAAGTCCCAAAGCTTACTTTTCTAACGAGTTTCCATATGATATTGATATTACTGATCTGGGAACCACAAGTTGAAAAACTATAATTTAGCCTTCCTGTTTCTTGAACTCCATGTTTTATGTCTGGTAAATGAGGAAAAGCTGAGAATACTAAGAAGGAATTAGAAAACATGAAAAAATTTTCTAGATCAGTGATTTTCAAACTTAGCTACACGTTAGAAATACTTATATAGCTTCAAGAAATAAGGATGCCTGGATACTTCTTTCAGAGATTTTGAGTTTTTTTAATTAATTTTTTATTATACTTTAAGTTCTGGGAAACATGTGCAGAACATGCAGGTTTGTTACATAGGTAATACAGGTGCCATGGTGGCTTGCTGCACCCATCAACCCATCATCTAGGTTTTAAGACCTGTATGCACTAGGTATCTGTCCTAATGTTCTCCCTCCCCTTGACCCCCACCCCCCGACAGGCCCCGGTGTGTGATGTCCCCTTCCTGTGTCCACGTGTTCTCTTTTTTCAACTCCCATTTATGAGTAAGAACATGCAGCATTTGGTTTTCTGTTTCTGTGTTAGCCTGCTGAGAATGATGGTTTCCAGCTTCATCCATGTCCCTGCAAAAGACATGAACTCATTCTTTTTCATAGCTGCATAGTATTCCATGGTATATATGCACCACATTTTCTTTATCCAGTCTATCATTGATGGACATTTGGATTGGTTCCAAGTCTTCACTATTGTAAATTGTGCTGCAATAAACATACATGTGCATGTTTCTTTATAGTAGAATGATTTATAATCCTTTGGGTAGATATGCAGTAATAGGATTGCTGGGTCAAATGGTATTTCTGGATCTAGATCATTGAGGAATTGCCACACTGCCTTCCACAATGGTTGAACTAATTTACACTCCCACCAACAGTGCAAAAGCATTCCATTTCTCCACATCGTCTCCAGCAACTGTTGCTATCTGACTTTTCATGATTGTCATTCTAACTGGCATGAGATGGTATCTCATTGTGGTTTTGATTTTTGTTTCTCTAATGACCAGTGATGACGAACTTTTTTTCATATGTTGTTGGCTGCATAAATGTCCTCTTTTGAGAAGTATCTGTTCATATCCTTTGCCCAGTTTTTGATGGGATTGTTTTTTTCTTGTAAATTTGTTTATGCTTCTTATAGGTTCTGGATATTAGCCCCTCGTCAGATGGATAGATTCCTAAAATGTTCTCCCATTCTGTAGGTTGCCTGTTCAATCAAAATATCCCAAAATAATAAGAGCTATTTATGACAAACCCATAGCCAATATCATACTGAATGGGCAAAAGCTGGAAGCATTCTGTTTGAAAATTGGCACAAGACAAGGATGCTCTCTCTCATCACTCCTATTCAACATCATATTGGAAGTTCTGGTCAGGGCTATCAGGCAAGAGAAAGAAATAGAGTATTCAAATAGGACAAGAGGAAGTAAAATCGTCTCTGTTTGTAGAAGACATGATTGTGTATTTAGAAAACCCCATTGTCTCAGCCCCAAAACTCCTTAAGCTGTTAAGAAACTTCAGTAAAGCCTCAGGATACAAAACCAATGTGCAAAAATCACAAGCATTCGTAAAATCCAATAATAGAAAAACAGAGAGCCAAATCATGAGTGAATTCCCATTCACAATTGCTACAAAAGAATAAAATACCTAGGAGTACAACTTATAAGGGACATGAAGGACTGCTTTGAGGAGAACTACAAACCACTGCTCAAGGAAATAAGAGAGGACATAAACAAATAAAAAAAAATTCCATGCTCATGCATAGGAAGAATCAATATCAAGAAAATGGCCATACTGCCCAGAGTAATTCACAGATTCAATGCTACTCCCATCAAGCTACCAGTGACTTTCTTCACAGAAATTGAAAAAACTACTTTAAATTTTATATGGAACCAAAAGACCCCTATACCCAAGACAAACTTAAGCAAAAGGAACAAAGCTGGAGGCATCACACCACCTGACTTCAAAGTATACTACAAGGCTACAGTAACCAAAACATCATGGCAATGGTACCAAACAGATATGTGGACCAATGGAACAGAACAGAGGCCTCAAAAATAACACCACACATCTACAACCATACGGTCTTCTACAAAGCTGACAAAAACAAGCAATGGGGAAAAATTTTCTTTTTTAATAAATGGTGCTGGGAAAACTGGCTAGCCATATGCAGAAAACTCAAACTGGACCCCTTCCTAACACCTTATAAAGAAATTAAGTCAAGATGAATTAAATACTTAAATGTAAAACCTGAAACCATAAACACCCTTGAAAAAATTCTAGGCAATACCATTCAGGACCTAGGCATGGGCAAAGACTTCATGACTAAAACACCAAAAGCAAATGCACCCAAAGCCAATGTTGATGAATGGGATCAAATTAAAATAAAGAGCTTCTGCATAGCAAAAGAAACTATCATCAGAGTGAACATGCATTTGAATTTTTAAATTTCTTTGGGTACTTCTGATATAAAGCCAAAATTGAAATCCTATCTTCTATGTCAGTAGAGATTACAACTAACTCTTCTTATGAGATAGAAATGACAATGGGGTAAATCACATTTTTTTTGAGAGAAGACTTTTCTAGAAATATTCACATTTGGGGAGTGGAGCCAAGATGGCCAAATAGGAAGAGCTCCAGTCTACAGCTCCTAGCCTGAGCAACGCAGAAGATGAGTGATTTCTGCATTTCCAACTGAGGTACCGGGTTCATCTCACTGGGGAGTGCCGGACAATGGGTGCAGGACAGTGGGTGCAGCACACCCTGCATAAGCCAAAGCAGGGCGAGGCATTGCCTCACCTGGGAAGCGTGAGGGGTCAGGGAATTCCCTTTACTAGTCAAAGAAAGGGGTGACAGATGGCACCTGGAAAATCAGGTCACTCCCACCCTAATACTGCACTTTTCCAATGGGCTTAACAAACGGCACACCAGGAGATTATATCCTGCACCTGCTTTGGAGGGTCCTATGCGCATAGAGCCTCACTCATTGCTAGCACAGCAGTCTGAGATCAAACTGCAAGGCGGCAGCGAGGCTGGAGGAGGGGCGCCTGCCATTGCCCAGGCTTGAGTAGGTAAATAAAGCAGCCTGGAAGCTCGAACTGGGTGGAGCCCACCACAGCTCAAGGAGGACTGCCTGCCTCTGTAGGCTCCACCTCTGGGGGCAGGGCAAAGACAAACAAAAGACAGCAATCACCTCTGCAGACTTAAATGTCCCTGTCTGACAGCTTTGTAGAGAGTAGTGGTTCTCCCAGCATGCAGCTTGAGATCTGAGAACAGGCAGACTGCCTCCTCAAGTGGGACCCTGACCCCCGAGTAGCCTAACTGTGAGGAACCCCCAGTAGTGGCAGGCTGACACCTCACACAGCTGGGTACTCCTGTGAGACAAAACTTCCAGAGGAACAATCAGGCAGCAGCATTTGTGGTTCACCAGTATCTGCTGTTCTGCAGCCACCGCTGCTGATACCCAGGCAAACAGGGTCTGGAGTGGACCTCCAGTAAACTCCAACAGACCTGCAGCTGAGGGTCCTGACTGTTAGAAGGAAAATTAAAAAACAGAAAGGACATCCACACCAAAACCCATCTGTACGTCACCATCATCAAAGACCAAAGATAGAGAAAACCACAAAGATGGAGAAAAAACAGAGCAGAAAAACTAGAAACTCTAAAAATCAGAGCACCTCTCCTCCTCCAAAGGAACACAGCTCCTCACCAGAAATGGAACAAAGCTGGATGGAGAATGACTTTGACGAGTTGAGAGAAGAAGGCTTCAGAAGATCAAACTACTCCAAACTAAAGAAAGAAGTTCGAACCAATGGCAAAGAAGTAAAAAACTTTGAAAAAAAAATTAGGTGAATGGATAACTAAAATAACCAATGCAGAGAAGTCCTTAAAGGACCTGATGAGGCTGAAAACAAGAACTGCTTGATGAATGCACAAGCCTCAGTAACCGATGCAATCAACTGGAAGAAAGGGTATCAGTGATGGAAGACAAAATGAATGAAATGAAGTGTAAAGAGAAGTTTAGAGAAAAAAGAATAAAAAGAAAAGAACAAAGCCTCCAAGAAATATGGGACTATGTGAAAAAACCAAATCTACATCTGATTGGTGTACCTGAAAGTGAAGGGGAGAATGGAACCGAGTTGGGAAACACTCTGCAGGATATTATCCAGGAGAACTTCCCCAATCTAGCAAGGCAGGCCAACATTCAGATTCAGGAAATACAGAGAATGCCACAAAGATACTCCTTGAGAAGAGCAACTCCAAGTCCCATAATTGTCAGATTCACCAAAGTTGAAATGAAGGAAAAAATGTTAACGGCAGTCAGAGAGAAAGGTTGGGTTACCCACAAAGGGAAGCCCATCAGACTAACAGCTGATCTCTCGGCAGAAACTCTACAAGCCAGAAGAGAGTGGGGGCCAATATTCAACACTCTTAAAGAAAAGAATTATCAACTCAGAATTTCATATCCAGCCAAAATAAATTTCATAAGTGAAGGAGAAATAAAATACTTTACAGACAAGCAAATGCTGAGAGATTTTGTCACCACCAGGCCTGCCCTAAAAGAGCTCCTGAAAGAAGCACTAAACATGGAAACATATCCAGCCACTGCAAAAACATGCCAAATTATAAAGACCATCAAGGCTAGGAAGAAACTGCATCAACTAATGAGTAAAATAACCAGCTACTATCATAATGACAGGATCAAATTCACACATAACAATATTAACCTTAAATGTAAATGGGCTAAATGCTCCAATTAAAGGGCACAGACTGGCAAATTTGATAAAAGGCCAAGACCCGTCAGTGTGCTGTATCCAGGAAACCCATCTCACGTGCAGAGACACACATAGGCTGAAAATAAAAGGATGGAGGAAGATCTACCAAGCAAATGGAAAACAAAAAAAGGCAGCGGTTGCAATCCTAGTCTCTGATAAAACAGACTTTAAACCAACAAAGATCAAAAGAGACAAAGAAGGCCATTATATAATGGTAAAGGGATCAATTCAACAAGAAGAACTAACTTTCCTAAATATATATGCACCCAATACAGGAGCACCCAGATTCATAAAGTAAGTCCTGAGTGACCTACAAAGAGACTTAGACTCCCACACAATAATACTGGGAGACTTTAACACCCCACTGTTAACATTAGACAGATCAATGAGACAGAAAGTTAACAAGGATATCCAGCAATTGAACTCAGCTCTGCACCAAGCGGACCTAATAGACATCTACAGAACTCTCCACCCCAAATCAACAGAAGATACATTTTTTTCAGCACCACACCACACCTATTCCAAAATTGACCACATACTTGGAAGTAAAGCTCTCCTCAGCAAATGTAAAAGAACAGAAATTATAACAAACTGTCTCTCAGACCACAGTGCAATCAAACTAGAACTCAGGATTAAGAAACTCACTCAAAACCACTCAACTACATGGAAACTGAACAACCTGCTCCTGAATGACTACTGGGTACATAACCAAATGAAGGCAGAAATAAAGATGTTCTTTGAAACCAACGAGAACAAAGACACAACATACCAGAATCTCTGGGACACATTCAAAGCAGTGTGTAGAGGGAAATTTGTAGCACTAAATGCCCACAAGAGAAAGCAGGAAAGATCCAAAATTGGCACCCTAACATCACAATGAAAAGAACTAGAAAAGCAAGAGCAAACACATACAAAAGCTAGCAGAAGGCAAGAAATAACTAAAATCTGAACAGAACTGAAGGAAATAGAGACACAAAAAACCCTTCAAAAAATCAATGAATCCAGGAGCTGGTTTTTTGAAAAGATCAACAAAATAGATAGACTGCTAGCAAGACTAATAAAGAAGAAAAGAGAGAAGAATCAAATAGACACAATAAAAAATGTCAAAGGGGATATCACCACCAATCCCACAGAAATACAAACTACCATCAGAGAATACTACAAACATCTCTACACAAATAAACTAGAAAATCTGGAAGAAATGGATAAATTCCTCGATACATACACTATCCCAAGACTAAACCAGGAAGAAGTTGAATCTCTGAATACACCAATAATAGGATCTGAAATTGAGGCAATCATTAATAGCTTACCAACCAAAAAAAGTCCAGGACCAGATGGATTCACAGCCGAATACTACCAGAGGTACAAGGAGGAGCTGGTACCATTCCTTCTGAAACTATTCCAATCAATAGAAAAAGAGGAAATCCTCCCTAACTCATTTTATGAGGCCAGGATCATCCTGATACCAAAGCCTGGCAGAGACACAACAACAACAAAAAAAGAATTTTAGACCAATATCCTTGATGAACATCGATGCAAAAATCCTCAATAAAATACTTGCAAACCGAATCCAGCAACACATTAAAAAACTTATCCACCATGATCAAGTGGGTTTCATCCCTGGGATGCAAGGCTGGTTCAACAGACAAAAATCAATAAACATAATCCAGCATATAAACAGAACCAAAGACAAAAACCACATGATTATCTCAATAGATGCAGAAAATGCCTTTAACAAAATTCAACAATGCTTCATGCTAAAAACTCTCAATAAATTAGGTATTGATGGGACGTATCTCAAAATAATAAGAGCTATCTATGACAAACCCACAGCCACTATCATACTGAATGGACAAAAACTGGAAGCATTCCCTTGGAAAACTGGCACAAGACAGGGATGCCCTCTGTCACCACTCCTTTTCAACATAGTGTTGGAAGTTCTGGCCAGTGCAATCAGGCAGAAGAAGGAAATAAAGGGCATTCAATTAGGAAAAGAGGAAGTCAAATTGTCCCTGTTTGCAGATGACATGATTGTGTATCTAGAAAACCCCATTGTCTCAGCCCAAAATCTCCTTAAGCTGATAAGCAACTTCAACAAAGTCTCAGAATACAAAATCAATGTGCAACAATTACAAGCATTCTTATACACCAATAACAGACAAACAGAGAGCCAAATCATGAGTGGACTCGCATTCACAATTGCTTCAAATAGAACAAAATACCTGGGAATCCAACTTCCAAAGGATGTGAAGGACCTCTTCAAGGAGAACTACAAACCACTGCTCAATGAAATAAAAGAGGATCCAAACAAATGGAAGAACATTCCATGCTCATGGGCAGGAAGAATAAATATCATGAAAATGGCCATACTGCCCAAGGTAATTTATAGATTCAATGCCATCCCCATCAAGCAACCAATGACTTTCTTCACAGAATTGGAAAAAACTACTTTAAAGTTCATATGGAACCAAAAAAGAGCCTGCATTTCCAAGTCAATCCTAAGCCAAAAGAACAAAGCTGGAGGCATCAGGCTACCTGACTTCAAACTAAACTACAAGGCTACAGTAACCAAAACAGCATGGTACTGGTACCAAAACAGTGATATAGACAAAGGGAACAGAACAGAATCCTCAGAAATAATGCCACATATCTACAAATATCTGATCTTTGACAAATCTGACAGAAACAAGCAATGGGGAAAGGATTCCCTATTTAATAAATGGTGCTGGGAAAACTGGCTAGCCAGATTTAGAAAGCTGAAACTGGATCCCTTCCTTACACCTTATACAAAAATTAATTCAAGATGGATTGAAGACTTACATGTTAGACCTAAAACCACAAAAATCCTAGAAGAAAACCTAGGCAATACCATTCAGGACATAGACATGGGCAAGGACTTCATGTCTAAAACACCAAAAGCAATGACAACAAAAGCCAAAATTGACAAATGGGATCTAATTAAACTAAAGAACTTCTGCACAGCAAAAGAAACTACCATCAGAGTGAACAGGCAACCTACATAATGGGAGAAAAATTTCACAACCTACTCATCTGACAAAGGGCTAATATCCAGAATCTACAATGAACTCCAACAAATTTACAAGAAAAAAACAAACAACCCCATCAACAAGTGGGTGAAGGATATGAACAGACAATTCTCAAAAGAAGACATTTATGCAGACAAAAAACACATGAAAAAATGCTCATCATCACTGACCATCAGAGAAATGCAAATCAAAACCACAATGAGATACCGTCTCACACCAGTTAGAATGGTGATCATGAAAAAGTCAGGAAACAATAGGTGCTGGAGAGGATGTGGAGAAATAGGAACACTTTTACACTGTTGGTGGGACTGTAAACTAGTTCAACCATTGTGGAAGTTGGTGTGGCAATTCCTCAGGGATCTAGAATGAGAAATACCATTTGACCCAGCCATCCCATTACTGGGTATATATGCAAAGGATTTTAAATCATGCTGCTATAAAGACACATGCACACGTATGCTTATTGCAGCACTATTCACAATAGAAAAGACTTGGAACCAAGCCAAATGTCCAACAATGATAGACTGGATTAAGAAAATGTGGCACATATACACAATGGAATACTAAGCAGCCATAAAAAATGATGAGCTCATGTCCTTTGTAGGGACATGGATGAAGCTGGAAACCATCATTCTGAGCAAACTATCACAAGGACAAAAAACCAAATACCACATGTTCTCACTCATACGTGGGAATTGAACAATGAGAACACATGGACACAGGAAGGGGAACATCACACACCGGGGACTGTTGTGGGGTCAGGGGAGGGGTGAGGGATAACATTAGGAGATATACCTAATGCTAAATGACTAGTTGGTGGGTGCAGCACACCAACATGGCACATGTATACATATGTAACAAACCCGTACGTTGTGCACATGTACCCTGAAACTTAAAGTATATTAAAAAAAGAACGTAACACTAAAAAAAAAAAAATTCACACTCTTTGAAAAATATTTAACCAAATAATTTGATATTATCTGTAGAATTTTTAGAATTATTTAAGCTTTGAAGTCAGAAAGACTCTTTATTCATTCATGCAATGTGTTTTTGAGATTGTCAGTTTTTAAGGTTCAGTGGTAGAACTAAATCTGGAAAAGAAAACAGCATAGGAACAATGTTTGCAGAAAGAACTGCTACTCTTATCAGAATATTCTATCTTTATTCACTCTAGCTGGTAGACACCAACAAACTTCAGTTTCCATAAATAACATAGAATGTAGAATTTTCAGGTCCTGGTAGAAACTACTATTAACTAGGACTTCAACAAGAAACAAAAAATTAGCATAAAAACATCAATTAGCTGAATATGAACACATATGAATGAACGAAGTATTTTTTTTTCATCATGGGCTGCTAAAACCCCTATTTTTTTAACATAAAATTTTAATTGTTTGGGGAACAGGTGGTTTTTGACTACATGGATAAGTAATTTAATGGTAATTTCTGAGACTTTGGTACACCTGTCAAAAGAGTGTATACACTGTACCCAAAGTGTAGTCTTTTATCCCTCCCTTCCCCACATTTCCTTGAGTCCCCAATGTCCATTATATCATTCTTTTGCCTTTGCATCCTCATAGCTTAGCTCCCAATTATAAGTAAGAACAGATAATATTTGGTTTTTGATTCCTGAGTTACTTCACTTAGAATAATGGCCTCCAGTTCCATCCAAGTTGATGCAAAATTCATTATTTCATTCCTTTTTATGGCTGAGTAGTATTTCATGGTGTATGTCTATCACATTTTCTTTATCCACTCAGTGGTTGATGGGTATTTAGGGTGGTTCCATATTTTTGTAATTAGGAATTGTCCTGCTATAAATATGCGTGTGTAAGTGTCTTTTTCATATAATGACTTCTTTTCCTCTGGGTGGATACACAGCAGGGGGACTGCAGGATCAAATGGTAGTTCTACTTTTAGTTGTTTAAGGAATCTCCATACTGTTTTTTCATAGTAGTTGTGCTAATTTACATTCTCACCAGCAGTGTAAAAGTGTCCCCTTTTCACCACATGCATACCAACATCTATTTTTTTTTATTTATGACCACTTTTGCAGGAGTAAAGTGATATTTCATTGTAATTTTAATTTGCATTAACCTGATAATTCATGATGTTGAGAATTTCTAAAATGTTTGTTGGCCATTTGTATATCTTCTTTTGAAAATTGTTTATTCATACCTTTGCCTATTTTTGATGAGATCATTTTTTTTCTTGCTGATTTGTTTGAGTTCATTGTAGATTCTGGATATTAGTCCTTTGTTGGATGCATAGTTTGGGAATATTTTCTCACCTAGTCTGTGGGTTGTCTGTTTGTTGATTATTTCTTTTGCTGTGCAGAAGATTTTAGTTTAATTACATCTCATTTGTTTGTTTTTGTTGCATTTGCTATTGTGTTCTTGGTCATGAATTCTTTGCCTAAGACAATGTCTAGAAGAGTTTTTCTGATGTTATCTTCCAGAATTTTTATAGCCTCAGGACTTAGATTTAAGTCTTTGATCCATCTTGATTTGATTTTTGTATAAGGTGGAGCTAAGAATCCAGTTTCATTCTTCTACATGTGGCTTGCTAATTATCCCAGAACCATTTGTTGAATAAGATGTCCTTTCCCCACTTTAAGTTTTTGTTTGTTTTGTTGATGATCAGTTGGTGTAAGTATTTGGCTTTATATCTGGGTTCTCTATTCTGTTCAACCACTCTACATGCCTATTTTTATACGAGGACTATGCTGTTTTGTTAACTATATCCTTGTAGTATAGCTTGAATTTGAGTAATATGATGCCTCCAGATTTGCTCTTTTTGCTTAGTCTTTCTAGGCTATGTGGGTTCTTTTTGGTTCTGTATAAATTTTAGGATTTTTTTCTAATTTTGTGAAGAATGATGATGGTACTTTGATGGTAATTGCATTGAATCTGTAGATTGCTTTTGGCCATATGGTCATTTTCACAATATTGATTCTACCCATTCATGAGCATGAGAAGTGTTTTCATTTGTTTGTGTTGTTGGTAATTTCTTTCAGCAGTGTTTTGTAGTTTTCCTTGTAAAGATCCTTTACCTTCTTTGTTAGGTATATTTCTAGTATTTTGTAAAATTTTTTTGTAGCCCTTGTAAAAGGGATTGAGTTCTTAATTTGTTTCTCAGCTTGTTTATTTTTGGTGTATTGCAGTGCTATTAATTTGTGTACACTGATTTTGTATCCTGAAACTGTACTGAATTCATTTATCAGATCTAGAAACTTTTTGGATGAGTCTTTAGGGTTTTCTAGGTATATGATCCTAGCATCAGTGAACGGCAACAGTTTGACTTCCTCTTTCCCAATGTGGATGCCTTTCATTTCACTCTCTTGTCTAATTGCTCTGGCAAAGACTCCCACTACTATGTTCAATAGAAGTAATCAAACTGGGTATCCTTGTTTTGTTCCAGTTCTCAGGAGGAATGCTTTCAACTTTTCCGCATTTAGTATAATGTTGGCTGTGGTTGTCATAGATGGCTTTTGTTACCTTGAGGTGTGTCCCTCCTATACCAATTTTGCTGAGGGTTTTAATCATAAAGGGATATGCTAGATTTTGTCAAATGCTTTTTCTGCATCTGTTGGGATGATTATATACTTATTGTTTTTAATTCTGTGTATGCGATATATGACATTTATTGATTTGCATATGTTCAAACATCCCTGCATCCCTGGTATAAAACCCACTTGATCATGGTGAATTATCTTTCTGATATGCTGTTGGATTTGGTTAGCTAGCATTTTGTTGAAGATTTTTCTATCTATGTTCATTAGGGATATTGATCTGTAGTTTTCATTTTTTGTTATGTCCTTTTCTGGTTTTAAAATTACAGTAATACAAGCTTCATAGAATGATTCAGGGAGGAGTCCCTCTTTCTCTAAATTTTGAAATAGTTTCAGTAAGATTGGTATCAATTCTTCTTTGAATGTCTGATACAATTCAACTGTGAATCAATTTGGTCCTGAGTTTGTCAGCAATTTTTTAAATTACTGTTTCAATCTAGCTACTTGTCATTGGTCTATTCAGAGCCTCTATTTCTTCCTGATTTAATCTGAGAGGGAGTTATATATTTCCAACAATTTATCTGTGTCCTTTAAATTTTCTACTTTGTGTGTAAAGGTGTTCATAGTACGCTTGAATGAACTTTTGTATTTCTCTGGTATCAGTTGTAACATCTAATTGAGCTTATTTGATTCTTCTCTCTTCTTTTCTTGGTTAATCTCACTGATGGTTTATTAATTTTATTTATCTTTTCAAATAACCAGCTTTATTTAGCTTTTCTATCTTTTTATTGTTGTTTCAATTTTATCTAGTTCTACTCTGTTCTTTGTTAGTTCCTTCGTTCTGCTGGGTTTGGGTTTGGTATGTTCTTGCTTCTCTAGTTCCTTAAGGTGTGACCTTAGATTGTTGCTATTTTTGCTCTTTCAGACTCTTGGATGTAGGCATTTAATGCTATAAACCTTTAGCACCACTTTTGCTGTATTCCAGAGGTTTTAATAAGTTTTATCACTATTAGATTCAGTTCAAAAAAAATTTTAATATTTATCTTGATTTCATTTTTGACCCAAAGATCCTTCAAAAGCAGATTATTTAATTTTCATATATTTTCATAATTTTGAGGGTTTGCTTTAGAGTTAATTTCCAGTTTTATTCCACAGTGGTCTAAGTGGATACTTGATATAATTTTCATTTTTTTATTTTATTGAGATTTCTTTTGTGACTTGTCATATGGTCTGTCTTGGAGAATGTTCACATGGTAAAGAAAAGAATGTACATTTTGTCATTTCTGGGTAGAATATTCTGTAAATATCTGTTAAGTTATTTAGTTCTAGTGTATAATTTAAGTCAATTTTTTATTGTTGGCTCTTTTTTTGATGACCTGCCTAGTGCTGTCAGTGGCGTATTGGAGTGCCCTGCTGTTATTGTGTCACCATCTATCTCATTTCTTAAGTCTGGTATTAATTGTTTTGTAAGTTTGGAAGCTCCAGTGTTAGGTGCATATATATTTAGGATTGTGACACTGTCTTGCTTGACTATTCTTTTTATTGTTATATAATGTCCCTCTTTGTCTTTTTTACTGTTGCTGCTTTAAAGTCTATTTTGTCTGATATAAAAATAGCTGTTTATGCTTGCTTTTGGTTTCCATGTGCATGAATTTTTTTTATCCCTTTACCTGAAATTTATGTGAGTTCTTATGTGTTAAGTGAGTCTCTTGAAAACAGCAGATACTTGATTGGTGAATTTATATCCATTCTGCCACTCTGTATCTTGTAAATTAATCATTTAAGGCATCTACATTCAACATTAATATAGAGATGTGAGGTATTGTTCTATTCTTCATGTTATTTGTTGCCTAATATCTTGTTTTTTTTTTCTCATTATGTTATTGTTTCATAGGCCCTGTGAGATTTATGCTTTAAGGAGGATCTATTTTGGTGTATTTTGAGAGTTTGTTTCAAGATTTAGAACTCCTTTTAGCATTTCTTGTAGTGCTGGCTTAGTAGTGGTGAATTATCTTAGCATTTATTTGTCTGAAAAAGAATTTATTTCTCCTTCATTTATGAAGCTTAGTGTTGCTGGAACAAATTTCTTGTCTAATAATTATTTTGTTTCAGGAGGCTAAAAATAGAACCCCAATTCCTTTTGGCTTGTAAGCTTTCTTCTGAGAAATCTGCTGTTAATCTGATAGGTTTTCCTTTATATGTTATTTGATGCTTTTGTCTCTCAGCCCTTAAAATTCTTCCCTTCATCTTGACTTTAGATAACCTGATTAATATGTCTAGGTGGTTATTTTTTTTTATAACTTTCTCATGTGTTCTTTGAGCTTCTTGTATTTGGATGTCTAGATCTCTAGCAAGATCAAGGAAGTTTTCCTCAATTATTCACTCAAATAAGTTTTCCAACCTTTAGATTTCTCCTCTTCCTCAGGAACTTCAATTATTTTTGTTTGGCCCCTTAACATAATCACAGATTACTTGGAGGCTTTATCATTTTTTCTTCTATTATGTTTTACTTGTTTTTATCTGACTGTGTTAATTTAAAAGCTTTGTCTTTGAGCTCTGAAATTGTTTCTTCTCCTTGTTCTAGTCCATTGTTGAAACTTTCCACTGCATTTTGTATCCCCCTAAGTGTGTCTTTCATTTCCAGAAGTTGTCATTGCTTTTTTTTACATGATGACATAATTTTAATCTATATGCTGTATTTTTTCAACTTCTTTAAGTTGTGTTTTACCTTTCTCTGTTATCTCCTTGAGTAGCTTAATAATCAACCTTCTGAATTCTTTATCTAGCAATTCAGAAGTTTCTTTTTTGTTTGAATGGATTGCTGGAAACCTGGTGTGATGTTTTGGAGGTGTTATAGAACCCTGTTTTGTCATACTACCAGAATTACTTTTCTGATTCATTCTCATTTGGGTATATTATATCAGTGGAGAGATCTGAAACTCAAAGCCTGCTCTTTAGATTCTCTTGTCCCACAGGGTGATCCCTTGATGTGGTGCTGTCCTCCTTCCTCTTGGGATGAGGCTTCCTGAGAGTTGGACTGCAGTGATTGTTTTTGTTCTTCTGGGTCTAGCCACTCAGCAGGACTACCAGACTTGGCTGGTGCTGCTGGATATCTACAAAGAGTCCTGTGATGTGATCCGTCTTCAAGTCTCCCAGCTGTGGATACCAGCACCTGCTCTGGTAGAGGTGACAGGGAAGTGAAGTAGACTCTATGAGAATCCTTGGTTGTAGACATGTTTAGTGTGCTTGCTTTCTTGAATGCTTGTTATGTTAGCAGTGAAGTTGTCACATGGACATACTAAAGACCTCTAGTTAGCCAGGATGCTATGAGCAGTGAAATTAGGTGTTCTGTTCTCCTGCCTGGAATCAGGGTTGTTCTGTCATGAGTTGCTGTAATGGCCTGAGTTGGTTGACCTCCAACTAGGAGGTGGCACTTTCAAGATAGCACCAGCTGTGGTAGTAGTAGGGGGCCCTAAGCTTGCCCTAAGATGGCCAGAGTAAGTGTTTTGGTTTGTCAAGTAATAGGCAGGGCCATAAAGCTCCCCAAATGTCTATGTTTTCTGTTTGTCTACCATGTCAGGAAGGGAAATACCATCAGGTAGTGACAGGGCTAGACAGATCTGGGGTCAGACTCTCCTTGGGTGAGTTTGCCATGACCACTGTGGGAGATGGTTGGGGGTGGTCCTCAGGCCAATCATGTTGTGTTCCAGAGGGCATCTTGGCCACCTCTTCCGTGTCATATAGTTCACCAGTGAATGGGGAATAGCCAGTAGCAAGAGGCCTTACCCAGCTCCGCCATAGTTTGTGAGGCCAATATCGCTCCTGCAGTGTCCTACACACATCTTGCCCCAGCCTGTGAGCTACCCCACTGAGAAAGCAAGCATGGCTTTCAGACCTTACCCTACCCTGTCTGCCCACTCCATCGGTGTCAGTTTCTGAGTTCCTAAGCTCGTTCACAGCCGCAGCAGCCCCTGCTTCTCCCCAAGGCTCCACTCAAGAAAATTTGTGTCCATCAAAACCACTACCAATTTCAGTTGGAAGCTCCCTTTGCCTGTGACCCCAGGATGGTGTTCGATGCATTGTAAGATAATTAGCTGCATCTCTAACCTCTACACATTAAAAGTCAGTAAACCCTGCTCACTCCCCATTCCTTGTTATTTTATCCTAGCTTGGTGCAACAATCAAAATGTTTCCAGATTTTACCAAGTGTTTCCTGAAGCACCAAAATAACCCTCGATTATTTCTTTTTACTATTTTTCCACAAGTTAACATTCTGTGAAAACTTTAAGGCTCTTGGAAAATAAATAATGTGCAGAAACTCTTCTCTGTGTAGTAATTCACTGTCTCTGAAAGTCTTTTATTCCATTTGCGTAGCAACCTGTCTTAATTGGTATGTTCTCTTCTCTACTCTTTTCCTGCTTTCTTCAATGATCTGATTTGAAATTCTTAAGCAGAAAATAAGTTTTCAATTTGAATGAATTTTTGCAAGTTATAAATACCTAAAATTAAGAGTTTATAATGGAAATACCAACACAACCTCAAATTTAGCAGTGTGAGGATCACCAATATAAAAAATCCATCACTTGTCTTCTATATCTGTCACAGTTCTATAAATCAAATTATTGAAAGGTAAATTATGTTTTAAAAGATTTTTTCATAAATCAGCTATGCATGTAGACACTGTTGATTATATTTTGGCAGTAAATCCTGTTGTTCATGGACATATTCTTGTGCTAGTTATATAAAAATTACCTAAAATTATATGTCAGGAGCATTTCAAAATATATCTTCTGAACATAATTCTTACAATATCAGGCCAGGAGTTATGGTTTACACTTCTAATCCCAGCACTTTGGGAGGCCAAGGCAGATGGATCAGTTGAGGTCAGGAGTTCGAGACCAGACCGAACAACATGGTGAAACCTCATCTCTATTAAAATACAAAAATTAGCAGGGCATAGTGATACACACCTGTAATTCCAGCTACTCAGGAGGCTGAGGCAGGAGAATCACTTGAACCTGGGAGGTGGAGGTTGCAGTGAGCCAAGATCGTGCCACTGCACTCCAGCCTGGGTGACAGAGTGAGATTCTGTCTCAAGATAAGATAAAATTAAAAAATAATTATTACAATATCGTTTTGTCTTAGAGCACTTGGAAGAGAAAAACAAATGTGTAAGATAGAAAGTTCCTCAATTGTTTCATTATTATATTCAGTACAAAGACCTTCTCACTTTAACCATAAAGATGTTATGTATGGAATATCTGACTAAATATATTTTATAGCCAGTCAACAAACAAACAAAAAAAAACACTCAGCAAACCAAACATAAAAGGAATGCATGACTTCTCTACTGACCAACTCAAAAATGTAAAGTAATTATATACTTGTAATGAACACATTTATATTTTCAGAGTACGTTATAAGTGAAAAAATTTACAAAGTGTTAAAATATCAGCAGGAAATTATTGACCTTGACTATTTTATTTATTAATTGAAAACAATCTAGTTTATGTCATTAAAAACAATTCAGACTGGGCACAGTAACTCACACCTGCAATCTCACCACTTTGGGAGGCTGAGGCGAGAAGATTACTTGAGGCCAGAAGTTTGAGACCAGTCTGAGCAACAGAGTAATACCCCATCGCTACAATAAAAAAATTAAAAAATAGCTGGACATGTTGGCATTTTCCTGTAGTCCTAGCAACTTGAGAAGCTGAGGTGGGGGGATTACTTGAATCCAGAAGGTCAAGGCTGCAGTAGGCTATGATTATGACACTGCACTCCAGCCTGGGTGACAGAGTATGACCCTGTCTTTTAAGAGAAAAAAGAAACAACAGGAACAATTCAAATTTTATATGTATGAGTCCATTCTCATGCTGCTCTAAAAAAAAAAAATACCCAAGACTGAGTAATTTATAAAGAAAAGAGGTTTAATTGACTCACACTTACACATTGCTTGGGATGTCTCAGGAAATTTACCATCATGGTGGAAGGCAATGGAGAAACAGGCACCTTCTTCACAGGGCAGCAGGATAGAGTAAGTGCAAGTAGGGGAAATGCCAGATGCTTATAAAAACATCAGATCTCATGAGAACTAATTCACTGTCACCAGAACAGCATGGAGGATCCTGCCCCCATGATCCAATCACTGTCCCTCTCATGACATCTGGGGATTATGGAGGTTATAATTCAAGATGAGATTTGGGTGGGAACACAGCCAAACCATATTAGTATGTAATTATACAGCCTAAAAGTGGGAAATCCTTTATCACTCACCCTATCACCTTCTACTTTTTTAATGAAGCCTCACAATTGGTGTTATTCAATAGAATTTACATGAATTTACACACCCATGTACAAAAGAACACATGCATTCTCATATGAGTATCCCAGTGTGTACTTATTTTTATATAAACATTTAATTTTGTTTATGTTTTATGTAATTTGATTCTTATGTTTATGACAACTGGCTTTTATTTTTCTTTACACTAATCCTTGGAAACTTTCCCATATCAATACATGCAGTTCTACTTTATTCTTTCAAATTTGTTTACAAAACATAGAATATTTTTATTTGTATAAATTTGTTGGGATGCAAGAGTAATATCATTACATAGATGTATTGTATACTAGAGAAGGCAGGGCTTTTAATTTATCCATTGCAGAAATAAAGTATCCATTAAGTAATTTCTCACTATTCAACACCCTCCTTCTTCTCACACTCTTTGGAGTCTCCATTGTTTATTATTCTAAACTTTGTGACCATATGTGCTCATTATTTAGCTCCCATGTGTAACTGAGAACATTTGACATTTTTCTTTCTGTGTCTACTTTTCATAAGACAATGACCTCTTCTTCCATCCATGTTGCTGCAAAAGAAATGATCTCATTATTTTATGGCTGAATAGTATTCCACTGTGTATATATACCACATTTTCTGTATTCAATCATCCATTGATGGATACATAAGTCAATTCCATATATTTGCTATTGTAAAGGATCTGTAATAAACACACAAGTGTATGTAATATTTTCATATAATTATTTCTTTTTTGGGGGATATATACCCAGTAGTGAGATTATAGGATTCAATGGTGTTTCCATTTTTAATTCCTTGAGAAATCTCCATACTGTTTTTCATAGAGGTTGTAGTAATTTATATTTGCTTCAACAGTATACGAGCACTCAACTTTCTCCACATCCTCACCAGCATTTGTTATTTTTTGTCTTTTTTATTATTGCCCTTCTGACTGGTGTAAGATAATACCTCATTTTAATTTTAAATTTTACTTTTTGATGATTAGTGACAATAAGCATTTTTATATATTTGTTGGCTATATGCATGTCTTCTTTTGAAAAATGTCTATTTTTCTTTTGCTCACCTCTTTATAGGGTTATTTGATTTTGTTGTTTTTTTTTTGTTTTTTGAGTTCTTCATAAATTCTGGATATTAATTCCTCCCTGTATTAATAGTTTTCAAATATTTTCTCCCATACTGCAGGTTGTCTGTTCAATCTTTTATTTCTTTTGTTTTACAGAAGCTCTTTAAGTCCATTTGTCTATTTTTTGTTTCTGTTTCTTGTGCTTTGGAAGTCTTAGTTGTGAATTTTTTTCCTACATCAATGTCTAGAAAAGTTTTCTTTAGGTTGTCTTCTAGTATTTTTTATAGCTTTAGGCGTTACATTTAAATCTTTAATCCATCTCATATAGTTGGGATATTTGTCTCCAGCCAAATTGCATGTTGAATTGTAATCTCTGATGTTGGAGTTGGGCCCTGGTGGGAGATGTTTGATTCATGGCAGCAGATCTCTTATAAATGGCTTGGGCCACTCCCTTAGTAATAAATAACATCTAGTTCTGAGTTTGAATGAGATCTGGTGCTTTAAAAGTGTGTGGCACCTCCCCATCCACTCTTCCTCTCTTGCTCCTGCTTTTGCCATGTGGCACACAAGCTCCCACTTCAACTTCTGCCATGAATAAAAGCTCCCTGAAGCCTCCGCAGAAGCTGAGCAATATTGGTGCAGTCTCATGTATATCCTTCAAAATTATGAGCCAATTAAACAATTGTTTCTTTATAAATTATGCTGTCTAATGTATTTCTTTATAACAATGCAGAAATGCCCAATAATTCAGTTAAATTTTGTATATGGTGAATGAAAGGGGTCCAGTATCATTCTGCATATGAAAATCCAATTTTCCCAGCACCATTTTTGAAAAGGATGTCTTTCCCACAATGCATTCTTTTGTTGACTTTGTCAATGATCAGTTTGTTTTAAGTGTGTGGACCCTTTTCTGGCTTCCATATTCTATACCAATGATTTATGTGTCCATCTTATACCAATACGATGCTGTTTTGATTTTACAGCCATGTAGTATAATTTGAACAATGTAACGTGATTCTTCTGTTTTTGTTCTTTATTCTCAGAATTTATTTTCCTATTTGGGCTCTTTTTTTGGTTCCATATGATTTTAGGATTGTTTTCTCTAGTTCTTTGAAATATCACATTGATATTTTGATAGGGTTTGTATTGCATCTGTAGATTGCTTTGGGCAGTATAGTCATTTTAACAATATTGATCTTTCTGATTAATGACTATGTGGTGTTTTTCCATTTGTTTGTGTCATCCACAATTTATTTCATCAGTGTCTTGTATATTTTCTTGTAGAGGTCTTTTACTGCCTTGGTTAAATATATTTCTAGATTTTTTTTGTAGCTATTATAAATGGGGTTGTCTTCTTGATTTGGTACTTAGCTGAATTATTATTGGTGTATATAAATGCTACCAATGGTTATATGTTGATTTTGTATCCTGAAACTTGATTGATTTATCAATTCTCAGAGTTTTTTGTTGGAGTCTTTAGGGTTTTATAGATATGAGGTTATGACATCAGTGAACAGGGGCAATTTTATTTTCTCTGTTCCACCTAGAATTTCCAGTACTATGCTGAATAGGAATGGTGAAAGTGGGCATCCTTGTTTTGTCCCAGTTCATAGAGGGAATGGTTTCAACTTCCCCTTATTCAGTGTGATGTTGGCTATGGGTTTGCCATATAATGCCTTCATTTGTTTTAATATATGATTTTGTTCATGTGGATCTTCTTTCTTATTTTCCTGATTAGCTAGAGGTTTACCAATTTTTAAAACTTTTTGAAGAACCAACTTTATATTTCATTGATTCCTTATATTCCTCTTTGTATTTTTTGTCTCAATTCAATTTAAATCTGCCCTGATCTTTGTCATTTCTTTTCTTTTTCTAACTTTGAGTTTGGTATTTTCTTGTTTTCCAAGTTTGTTGAGATGCAATATTAGGTTGTAAACTTGTGATCTTTCTACTGTTTGACGTAGGCATTTAATTCTATAAACTTTCCCCTTAATACTACTTTTGATGTATTCCAGAGATTTGGGTATGTGTGTTTCCATTTTCATGTGTTTAAAAAAGTTTAATTTACAGCTTAATTTTTTATTTACTCAAGGATGACTCAGGAGCATGTTGGTTAATTTCTATGCATTTGTATAGTTTCCAAAGATTCTCTCAGTATTGATTTATATGTAGGGAGATGCCCTGAAACTATTGCTACAGAATAAAAGATGAAATGCTCCTGATTACTGTAAATACAAAATTGCACACAGGATTGTGTAAAGACAACGCCAAGTTGGACTGCCAGAATGAGCCAACAGCACGTGATGTGCTTCCCTCTGCAGAGAGCCTATGAATGAATGTGCAGTCAGGGAGGTTTCACATCACCAAGATTCCTATCCCAGAAAAGCAGATGTTCATAGCTCTGGGAATGGAATGCAAACCTTGTGGAGAGACTATAAACAGACGCATGGGGGGCGCCTGTCCATATGGATAAGATAGGGCTATAAATGCCCTCATCTTGCCACAGCTCTTCTAGGCCTCTTTAGGGTTAAGGCATACTCCCTTCTGAGAATTTCTGGTCTAACCGGTTGTCTAGCTTCATGTCCTATTTCTACGGATTGTTTGTAACCAGCTTTTGCTGCAACTGTTACTGCTGATTAATATCTTGTTAATCATAGGTTATGGAAAGATTGTGTTTCTGTTTTAAGGCTCTGTTAGAAATTACTGACGCACACACTATATTGTAATTCTTATCTCTGTATACTGTACTTCTGCATACAAATGTTATGTTAAAGAATTTCTTCATCCCCATGTAACCAGCTCACCTCATAATCAAATAACCCTAAATCCCTCACTAACCTACCCCTGCCCTCACTAAACTTAATAATAAATGCTGGTATATCCAGTGCATTGTTGGCACCACGGGACCAGAAGGTGGTGACCCCCCTGGACCCAGCTTTCACTATCTTGTGTGTGTCTATTATTTCTCAACCTGCCGATCCGCCTGGGAACAAAGAGAGAGCCCCGTTGCATTGTGGGCTGCTGGCCAGATCCCACAATATTTATAGTTGGATTTTGTTGTGGTCTAAAAAGATACTTTATATGATTTAAATTTTTAAGAACTTTTTGAGGCCGGGCATAGTGGCTCATGCCTGTAATCCCAGCACTTTGGGAGGCTGAGGCGGGCAGATCACCTGAGGTCGAGAGTTTGAAACCAGCCTGACCAACATGGAGAAATCCCATCTATACTAAAAATACTAAATTAGCCAGGCATGGTGGCACATGCCTGTAATCCCAGCTACTAGGGAGGCTGAGGCAGGAGAATCGCTTGAACCTGGGAGGCGGAGGTTGTGGTGAGCCGAGATCGTGTCATTACACTCCAGGCTGGGCAACAAGAGCAAAACTCCATCTCAAAAAAAAAAAGAACTTTTTGAGACTTGTTTGGTGCCCTAATATATGGTCAATCTTGGAGAATGTTTCAAGTGCTGATAAGAAGAGTGTGTAGTCTGTAGTTGTTGAGTAGAATATGCTGTACAGTTTGTTAGGTCTATTTGGTCTAAAGTTCAGTTTAAACCCAATAATTCTTAGAAGATTTTATCTCCTGGTGATTTCTCTGTGTTGTGATGGGAGTTCTAAATTCTCTCAATATTATTGTATTGCTGTCTATATCTCTATACAGGTCTAGTAATATTTGTTTTATAAATTTGGGTGCTGTGGTGTCGGGTGCACATATCTAGAATTGTTATATCCTCTTGCTGAATTGATCCTTTTATTATTATATAATGTTATTCTCTGTCTTCTTTCTCAGCTTCTGATTTAAAGTCTCTTTTGTCTGATATAAATCTGGATATTCTTGCTCATTTTTGGTTTCTCTTTACATGAAATATTTTGTTTTTTAATCCCTTTACCATCAGTCTATATGTGTTTTCACAGGTCAGATGAGTTTTTTGTAAGCAATATATGATTGGAATATGTTCTGTTTAGCCATTCTGTCCATTTATATATTTTAAGTGAAGCATTTAATCTGTTTAAATTAAAGGCTAGTATTATTATATGTGAGTTTTTGTTTCTGTATTATTATGAATTGTTATCTAGTCATTTTATAAATTATTTGCTTCTTTCTTTTTCTGTTTGTCTTCGTGATTTCATAAAATTCTGTTGAATTGCCATCTGATTCCTTTCTCTTTTTTGTGTGTGATTGGTTTATAAAACCTATGAGTTTTATACTTTTTTGTGTTATGATAAAACATATCCTTTTTTCATGTTTAGGACTTCTTGGATTTTTTTCTGTAGGGACAGTCTAATGCTGATGAATATTTTTAACCTTTGACTTTCTAAGTAAGACTTTCTTTTTCCTCCATTTATAAAACTTAGTCTAACTGAATATAAAATTCTGGCTGGCAGCTTTTTAAAATTTCAGTACTTTGAAAATCCTATCCTATTCTCTTCTGGCTTGTAGGGTTTTACTGAGAAGTCTGCTGTTTGTCTAATGGGATTTTCTTTATAGGGGACTAGAAATTTTTCTCTTACTGATTGATATGGGTTGGGTCTGTCTCCCTGCCCAAATCTCATGTTGAAATGTAATCCCCAATATTAGAGGTGGGGCCTGATGGAAAGTGATTGGATTGTGGAGTCAGTTTCTCCTGAATGGCTTAGCACCATTCCTGTGTGCTGCTCTCACAATAGTGAGTGAGTGAGTTATTGCCAGTTAGTGCTGTGATGGGACTTCTGAATTCTCTCAATATTATTGTATTGCTGTCTATGTCTCTATACAGGTCTAGTAATATTTGTTTTATAAATTTGGGTGCTGTTGTGTTGGGTGCACATATATCTAGAATTGTTATTTTTTATTTTTTATTTTTTTTTTATTTGCAGCACCTCCCCCTTCTCTTCCTCCTGCTCTGGCCGTGTGAAGTGCTGGCTTACCCTTTGCCTTTCCCCATAATTATGTGTCCTGAGGCCTCCCCAGATGCCAGTCAGATGCCAACCCTATGCTTCCTGTACAGCCTGTGGAAATATGAGCCAATTAAGCCTCTTTTCTTTATAAATTACCTAGCCTTAGGTTCTTCTTTATAGCCATGCAATAATTATCTAATATAGAAAATTGGTACTGAGGAGTGGGATATTGTGACTGGAACTTATATTTAAAAGGGAAGCAGAGCAAAAAAGCTTGAAAAATATGCAGCCTGATTATATGGTAGGAAAAAAAGGCCTGTTTTCAGGGGAAAAATTCAAGCAGACTGCAGAAATGTGCATAAGTAAAGAGGAGCCAAGTAGTAATAGCCAAGACAATGGGGAAAAGGCCTAGAAGGCATTTCAGAGACCTTTGTGGCAGCCTCTCCCATCATAGGCCAGGAGGCTTAGGAGGGAAGAATGGTTTTGTGTGCCAGGCCCAGGACACCACTGCCCTTTGTGTGCCAGGCCCAGGACACCACTGCAGCCTCAGGACACTGCTTTCCACATGCCAGTTATTCCAGCTCCAGCTCTGGGTAAAAGGGACCCAGGTACAGCTCAGACCACTGCTTCAGATGGTGTAGGCCACAAACCTTGGCTGCTTTCACATGGAGTTAAGCCTGTGGTTTCACAGAGAGCAAGAGTTGAGGCTGGAGATACTTCAACTGGATTTCAGAGAATGTGTGAAAAAGCCTGGATGTCTAGGCAGAAGCCTGCTGTAGGGGCAGCACCCTTATCAAGAATCTCTGCTATGGTAGTATGGAAAAGAAATGTGAGGTTTGAGCCCCCACACAGTATCCCAACAGGGGCACTGCATAGTGGAGCTGTCAGAAGAGGGCCACCATCCTCCAGACCCCTCCAGAATGGTAGACCCAATGGCAGCTTGCTCCCTGCACGTGGAAAAGCTGCAGTCACTCAATGCCAGTACTTGAGAGCACTTCAGCTGGGGCTGATCTCTGCAAAGTCATGAGTATGAAGCTTCCCAAGGCCTTGGGAGACCATCCCTTATACCAGTGTGCCCTGGATATGAGGCATGGAGTCAAAGTACATTATTTTAGAGTTTAAGGTTTAATGACTGCCCTGCTGGATTTCGGACTTGCATAGGGCCTGTAGCCCCTTTCTTTTGGCCAATTTCTGCCTTCTGGAATGGGAATATTTACCCAATGCCTATACTGCAATTGTATCTTGGAAGTAACTAACTTGTTTTTGATTTTACAGGCTCATAGGTGGAAAGGGCTGGCCTTTCCTCAGATGAGACTTTTGAGTTAATGATGGAAAAAGTTTACATCTTGGGAATTATTGGGAAGGCACAATTGTATTTTGAAATGTGAGGACACAAGATTTTGGAAGGGCCAGGGGTGGAATGACATGGTTTGAATCTGTGTGCCAACCCAAATTTCATATTGAAATGTAATCCCCAATGCTGGAGGTGAGGCCTAATGGAGGATGATTGGATCCTGGGGTCAGTTTCTCCTGAATGGTTTAGCACCATCCCTGTGTTGCTGTTCTTGTGATATTGAGTGATTGAGTTATCACCAGATCTAGTTGTTAGAAAATGTTTAGCACCTCCCCTTTTCTTCCTCCTGTTCTGGCCATGTGAAGTGCTGGCTTCCTCTTTGCCTTCTGCAATGATTGTAAGTTACCCAAAGCATCTCCCGAAGCCAAGCAGATGCCAGCATCATGCTTTCAGTAAAGCCTGTGGAACCACGAGCCAATTAAACCTCTTTTCTTCATTAATTACCCAGCTTTAGGTATTTCTTTATAGAAATGTGAGAACAGCCTAATACACTGATTATAAAATTAATTCCTTCATCTTGACTTTAGATGATTTGATATCAATCAGCCATTTTAAAACCCTTTATGTAATATATTTTCTTGGAGATCATTGGGCCTCTTGTGTCTGGATATTTATATGTCTTGCTAAACTTGGAAAGTTTTCATCAAATATTCTCTTAAATATGTTTTCTAAATTTTAGATTTTTCTTTCCCATCAGGAATACCAATAATTTATAAGTTCAATTACCTTATGTAGTCTTATATGTCTCAAATGTCTTGTTCATTCTCTTTTATTCTTTTTTCTTCATTTTTGTCTGACAGTATTATTTCAAAAGACCTGCCTTCAACATCTGAAATTCTTCCTTCTTCTTGGCCTACTCTATTTTTTAAAGATTTGTGTATATATTGCAATTCCTTCAGTTAATTTTTTATTTCTATGTTATATTTGTCTTTTTTAAAGATATCTGTCTCCTTAGTAAATTTCTTGTTCATATCCTGAATTGATTTTCTGTTTTATTTGTATTGGAATCACATTTCTTGTATTTCATTGAGTTTCTTTAAAATAAATATTTTGAATTTTACATCTAGCATATCAAAAATTGTTATTTTTTTTTGTTTAGAATCTATTGCTGGAGAACTGTGTTTCTTTGGCAGTGTTGTAATGCCTTGCTTTTTAATACTTTCTGTATCTTTATGTTAATTTATGTGCATCTAAATTAACAGTCACTTCTTATTTTGCAACTTAATTTTGTTGGAGTAAATTTTTTTTCTTGAAGATATGACTATGCTGTATGTTGGGTAGGGCAATTTGATTTTGCTTCTGGGTGCGTGCATTGGCAAAGACTCTGCAGGATTTTATTAATTATAAATAGCATTTGTTTGGTGGCTTTCTGAAATGCCAGTTTTAGTAGCAGTGTACCATGTGGATGAGCTTGCTGATGACCTTCTTTGTAGCCACTGTGGTGTGGGTGATGGGGATAGCAGTGGTCATGAGAATCTTTTCTTGTTCAAAGGGCCTTGCTCTGGTGTTGGCAGTTGTTCTAATGGGTTGCATAAGACAACCCTCAGGCTAGTAGGTGGTACTCTCAAGTAAGAATCAGCTGTAGTGGTGGCAGTAGAACTTACGCTTGACCTCTGTTCCCCAGGAAAAATGCTCTGCTTTCCAGGTGATGGATTGGGCTGCTGACTCCCCAAAAGCTTGGATCATACACTCTGTTTCACAGAGATAGGTGAAGCTTTGTGGGGCTGGACTGGGCAAGCAAACAATCAGGTACTCCTATAGAAGATGTGAACTCCAGCCTTGACAAGAGTGGCAGAAGATTTTTCAAGCCCCTGGCAAAATATTTGTGTGAGGCTTTATTGCTACTGCACTGAAGTCTCAGCGCCACAGGCTTGGTAGGCAGTATAACCTGCTTACCTCTCATGCCTTTGTCCTGGCAGGGCTCACTTTCCTGTCCTGACTGTGGCCACATTTAAGATAATCCATTAACTGCTGAAGTTTACTTCTAGTCTGAAAGGTAACCCAGTGTCATAGAAGTCACTAGACTTGTTGCTCAGTACTAAACTTCTGCAGTAGCTGGCAGTGGCTGCACTGCAGTCTTCACCCACAGCTTCAAACACACAGCTTTCAGGTTCTCCTGCTTTCTATGGTAACAACACCGTAGCTCTGTATAGAGAGTGGGACAGACCCCAGCCTATACATGGGCCTAAGCTCCAAAGACATGCAACCAGTGAAATCACAGTTGCCACTCATAGTCCCAGACAGGCAGCACTTCAGCTCACCCACTTCAGCCTCCAACTACAGCAGCAACAGCAGCTATGCCTGCAACTATATGCAGTGTGGGAGAAAGGGTTTCATTATGTATACATAATTCTAAGCAAAAAGGTTGCTTGGAAGGTAGGAGGAGATTTTGCATGTCCCTTGAAAGGCCAAGCACAGAGTTTGTGCCACTGCTGGGGGTGGAGTCATTTCTTAAAATGCCAAACAGAGAGCTTTCAGGCTCTGGAACGCATGCATTCCAGTTTTCTCTGGGCCAGGGACTGCATTTTTGGTGTGCTGCACTGCCCTTCCCCCAGGGAGGAAAACTGTCTCTAGGCTAGATTACTGGGGACCCTGAAGCACCTTTCGGTTCAGCCAGTGCAGTGTCACTGCAGCTCTCTAGGTGGACATTGGGGAATGTCAGCAGTAGCTTTTAGAATGTAGAGATGGGGTGCTGTAGTTCCCAGGGCAGGATGCAGTCCCATGATAGCTACACTTCACAATGGTGCCCTGCCACAGCCTCTCAGGTCCGAGGGGAGGGGTGAGTGATTTAGCATGAGTTCCCAGTCTGGAGCAATGCTCTCAAGAGGTCTCCAAATTACCACTCATACTAATGCCAAGGTTTGTGGCAGTAGAGGAACTCTCCTGTGGTTTGGATCCCAACAGTCTATGGCAAGAATGTGAACATCAAAACTCTCCCACTCACCCTCTCCCCAGAACACCAAGCCTCTACAGGCGCCTGACCAATTCTCAGAAAAGTTGGCTTCTTGTTTCCTCCTACTTCTGTGCCTTAGGCATTTCCCCTGAGTTCTCTGTTGGACTCTAATATTTTCTTCTTTAATAGTCTATTCAAAGTGTGATTATCTGTTCATAATTTTGGTTCTTTTTTCTGGAAAAAACAGGCATCTGATGTCTTCAGTCAGCCATGTTGAACTGGAACCTCCCAACATATAATATTTTAAACTATTATTCTACAGATGTACATTAATTTTTTGGCAACATTTCACTATTAAAAATATAATACTACAATAAAGAGATTTGTGTTTAGTGTACATATATGACTATTTCTTTATAACAAAGAGATTCTTGTAATAATATTTCGTTGTAATGTATGCATATTTAAAATTTTGATATTTTTTAACCAAATTCCCCAACAATGTCCCTACTTATTTATACTACCACTCTTGACGCACATGTGTAAATATTTTATTGCCGTACTAATCACCACTGCTTTTTGCTAATTTTCCCAAGATTGACAATTTAAGAAGAGGACCTGTTTGCACATGAGTGCATGTGTTTGTGGTGGGAAGAAGTGACAGTGTAAAAATCAATTGCTTTGAATCTGTCTAGTAGGAATATCTGCTTGGCAAGGCTTAGTAGAAACTGGAGGTAGAGCTTTGGGAGTATTTGAAACGTTAAAAGGAGATGACTTCACAGAAATTCCATGCCCAATGGGTTATGGTTTTATGTAATTCCAATGTATCACTATATGTATATGATTTAATATGAGGATATATTTCTTAATGGAGACGAGATTGTTAAATTATTTTATCAATTTGGCTTTACCTGAAAACAGAACTTGAGACAACGGTTTGAGGCAGATGGTTTTGGGGAAAGGTAGTTCCAGGAAGCCAAAGTGAGAAGGCAGGAGGGTGAGAAAGAAAAAAAGTGAAAGCTGATATATAGCAGCATGTTAAGAGTTGCTTACCACTGTGGAAAAGCGGAACATAATCCTGTTGGAAACCCAGTGAGGAATAAAGGAAAATGCAACTCATAATTGTCCCCCCATACTCTCTTCTTCAATTGGTTTGAGGGTTTACTCTCTAAAATGTTAATACCCTCCCCTCCACCTCATCCCACAAGCACACACTTCTGGCCTATATTTGCTGGCACATTGAGTGAGATTTCTGCCCTTAGGAAAAGTCTGGAGACAGAAATTCAGAAAGAATGGATTAGAGGTAAACTTTGGAAATGTGTCTGCTGTAGTTTTTATTCAATTTCTTTACTGTATTTTCTCACTAAGAGGAAAAAGACGACCTCATAAGTCTTGTTCTCTAATAATAACCTTCATTTGCAAAATTTGAGGTTACTCAGTAAAAATTTTCTAAATTCTATTATGCTCTGAGATTTATAGAATGTCCATTCAAGACTATAGAGTGAGTTGAACTGATAATAATAAATAACAAACAATGAGACTAATGAAATATTTATCTCATTTTAGGATGTCAAATACCTATGATAATGCATTATCCTTAACTGTTAATCTTCATTAGAGAAGTTTTTTAAATAGTAGCCACATTAGAGATTATTCAAATAAATTTTGTATAAGTGCTACATCCCTGCCAATTATAAAACATGAGGTAAAACAACAAGGAAAAGAGAGCTGAAAAGTTTAACAAGTGTATTCAAAATATTAAGGTGCCACTAATGCTGCCTTATGTGTTGCTAATTGTCTATAGCTTGGGGTATGAAGTGGCAGTGTTATAAAGTGGTTTACTCTTTAGTAAGTATTATTTTACTCCTTGTTGTGGGAAGATATTAATTCAGTAAGTCTCTTGTGAGGTTTAGAAATAGCATAAGCTTAACTTGGTTATGTCCATACTTTGTAAATTACTTTTTCCTGCTGCAGAGTTTCCTGAATATATATTTGTCCTCAGTATTTCTGTCTTATGTCATATGACTAATACTCTCTACAGAGACTGCTTCTTTTCTGAACAAATGTTTAATTTATAACATATCTCTGAGAAAAGCTACTCATCTTTGTATTTAATTTTCCTCATATCAGTTAGAATCTGAGGCACATTATGTTATTTCCACAGGCTGTATATGCCAAGCGAGATGAAAAGAAACAGCAAAACATTAAGAGGTCTCATATCTCCCTTAGAAATTTTTTGTTCCAATACAGTCTATAAAGTGATGGTAGAAGCAGTTGTTACATATTGTTATTATAATTTCAAAAAGTTGAGCAATAATTACATCCAAGTCTGAAATTCCACGGTAAGTCTCAAGAACCCTTCTCTTTTTTCTCAAATCACTAACATTTCTCTCTTCTCTCACATAAATAATTTCTGCAACCATTTTTCTTTACAAAGTCTCACTAGACAGATATGAGTAAAGAAGAAATTGTTTTCTAAATTCCATACCAAACTCCCTGTAAATAGAAGTTACACTATCCTACCTTCTCAATGCACTAGTAAAACATGTATTATATGCAAACAATTACATTATTGATAGCCATTCTGTTTCTACCAAGCTGAACAAATAATTCTTGATTCTAACAAATGTAATTTCAAGTATACATATCTCAATCATTTTTAATATTCTAATGGATATTAGAATATTCCATTTTAATATTGAGGATGACAGATCCCAATTCATTTCTCAAGTGGATTGATTTGCCATCTTAAGGGTGAAAGTAGTATTTCTTACTTAATATAGAGGGAGAAAAATTTTATCTATTTTCCTAAAAAGTATATTTCCAAATTGCTTCCTTGGAGCTAGAATCCTCTGTGGTTTCTGGCACCAAAAATTTCTAACAATACTCTAAAAGAAACATAGGAAACAGACGTGGTTATGGAAAAAATAGCTACTGTAAGGTCAAGAGTCTAACACAGTCCCTATCTCATTTTTTCCAGCTACATAAACTCTTCTTTGCAATAGTTTTACAATTGCACTCAGAAGCAGTTGGATATTTATTTAACTGCACCACAATGGCAGGTTTCAGGGAGTACTGTGACTAAAACTTTGAATATGTATAAATATATTTTTGCAGTGGAGAGAATAATTAAGAAAAATTGGGGGTCTGGCCAAGATGGCAGACTAGAAACAGCTGCAATCGGAGGCTCCCACCTAGAACAAAAACAGTGTGCAAATTCTGAACTGGCAACAGAGGTATCCAGGTTTTCTCATCAAGACTAACTAGGTATTTGACATGACCCACGGAGAACAAGAAAAAGCAGGGTGGTGCAATGGCCCACCTGGGAGCCACACAGGGCAAGGTGAGCCCCAAACCTCAGCCAAAGGAGGTGGTGAGTGATTGTGCTATCCAGCCTGGAAAACCATGTTTTTTTCATGAATCTGTGCAACCCATGAATCAGGAGATCCCAATCATGAGTCCATGCCACCAAGGCATTGAGTCACAACAGACCTGTGCAGATTCTCAACGGCCACTTGGCTGGAGACCGCTTAAGACTACCAAGTTGCTGGGGAGAGGGGTGGCCATTATCACGGCAGCTGACTGCTGCCTAAGACAACTGAGCTCCCCGGGGGAAGGATGGCCATCCTCAAAGCAGCTGCCTGCTGCCTAAGGTGACTGAGCTCCCCAGGGGAGGGGTGGCAGCCATACTGCATACTGCCTAAGATGACTGAACTCCTGGGAAGAGGAGTGGTAGCCATCACTGCAGCTCCAGGCTGCCATTTTTTTCCCTGATGGTGCCAAGGAGACTGGACATTTTGGATACAGGATGGATTCCCCATAGAGCCTGACACTGGCTGTGGCAGGTTGTGGCCAGACTGCCTCTTTAGGACAGACACCAACCTATCCCTCCTCACTGAGTGGGGCCTCCCTGAAGGAACTTCAACAACTCCAGCCAGGGGTTTAGGGACAGAACTTTGATAACCCTGGGCCTGAGCCCCTAGGGGGAGTCATGGCTATGGTCTCCATGGACAAGCACACTTAGTCCTCCCCATTGCTGGCTCTGAGGAATCTGGGCATCCCAGACAAGTTGGGTTTCCCCCAGCATGGCACACCCCCTCCACCAAGGGGCAGCCAGTGTGCTTCATTAAGCAAGTCCTGGATCCTGAGGCCCCTGACTGTGTGAGACACCCCAACAGGCATCACCAGAAACCTTATACAGGAGTGTTCCTTCTGGCATTAGCTCTGTGCCCCTCAGGGACAGAGGTTCCAGAGGAAGGAGCAAGCACCAACCTTTGCTGCTCTGCAGCCTCCTTGGGTGACATCTCTAGGTGCAGGGGGGAGCCAGGTGAATAGGGCCTAAAGCGAACCCCCAGAAAACTGCAGCAGCCCAGCAGAAGAGGGGCCTGATTGTTAAAAAACAAACAAACAGCAAGCAACAGCAACAGCATCAATAATAAAGTCCTCACAATAACCCCATCCAAAGGTCAGTAACATTAAAGAACAAAACTAGACAAACTAATTAAGATGAGAAGAAATCAATAAAAAGATGTTGAAACTTCAAAAGGCCAGAGGGCCCCTCCTCCTACAAATGATCACACCTCCTCTCCAGCAAGGGCACAGAACTGGGTGGAGGTTGAGATGAATTGACAGAAGTAGGCTTCAGAAGGTGGGTAATAACAAACTTTACTGAGCTAAAGGAGCATATTCAAACCCAATGCAAAGCATCTAAGAGCCTTGATAAGAGGTACAGGAGCTGCTAACTAGAATAACCAGTTTAGAGAGAAACATAAATGACCTGATGGAGCTGAAAAACACAGCATGGGAACTTTGTGATGCACACACACAAATATCAATAGCCAAATTAATCAAGTGGAAGAAAGAATATCAGAACTTGAAGACAATCTTGCTGAAATAAAGCAGGCAGACAAGATTAGAGAAAAAAGAAAAAAAAAAGTATTGAATTAAACCTCCAAGTACTATGGAACTATGTTAAAAGACCAAATCTACAACTGATTGGAGTACCTGAAAGAGATGGAGAGAATGGAACCATGTTGGAAAACACACTTCAGGATATCATCCAGGAGAACTTCCACAACCTAGCATAACAGGCCAACATTTAAATTCAGGAAATCCAGAGAACTCCAATAAGATACTCTTTGAGAAGGTCACCACAAGACACATAATCATCAGGTTCTCAAGGTTGAAATGAAGAAAAAAAATGTGAGGGACAGCCAGAGAGAAAGTCCAGGTCACCTAAAAGGAAAGCCCATCAGACAAACAGCAGACCTCTCAGCAGAAACCCTACAAGCCAGAAAAGCGTGGGGGCCAATATTCAACATTCTTAAACAAAAGAATTTCCAACTTAGAATTTCATGTCTGACCAAACTAAGCTTCATAACTGAAGGAAAATAAAATTCTCTTAAGACAATCAAATGCTGAGGGAATTCACCACCATGAGGCCAGCCTTGCAAGAGCTTATGAAGGAAGCACTAAATAAGAAAAGACGAACTGGTAGCAGCCACTGCAGAAACACACTGAAGTACAAAGACCAAAGACACTATGAAGAAACTGCATCAACTAGTCTGCAAAATGACCTGGTAGCATCATGATGATGGGATCAAATTCACACATAACAATATTAACATCAAATGTATATGGGCTAAATGCTCCAATTTAAAGACACAGAATGGCAAACTGTAAAAGAGTCAAGACCCATTGGTGTGCTGTATTCAAGAGACTCATCTCATGTTGAAAGACACACGTATGCTCAACATAAAGGGATGGAGAAAATTTACCAAGCAAATAGTAGAAAAAAATCAGGGGTTGCAATCCTAGTTGCTGACAAAATAGACCTTAAACCAACAAAGATCAAAAAAGACAAAGAAGGGCAAGACATAATAGTAAAGGAATTAATTCAACTAGAAGAACTAACAATACTAAATATATATGCACCCAATACAGGAGCACCCAGATGTGTAAAACAAGTTTTTAGAGACATAAAAAAGACAGACTCCTTCACAATAACAGTGGGAGACTTTAACACTCCACTGTCAATATTAGACATATCATCAAGACAAGAAACTAACCAGGATATTTGGGACTTGAACTCAGCTCTGGATCACCTAAACCTGATAGATATCTAAAGAACTCTCCACCCCAAAGCAGCAGAATATACATTCTTCTCAGTGCCACATGGCACTTACTCTAAAATTGATCACGTAGTTGGAAGTAAAACATTCCTCAGCAAATACAGAAGTACTTAAATAATAGCAAGCAGTATCTCAAACCACAGTTCAACCAAATTAGAACTTAATTCACTCAAAAGCACATAAATTCACTCAAAAGCACACAACAATATGGCAATTGAACAACTGATCTTGAAAGACCCCTAGGTAAATAATGAAATTAAGACAAAAATAAAGAAGTTCTTTGAAACCAATGAGAACAAAGAGACAATGTACCAGAATCTCTGGGATGCAGCTAAAGCAATATTAAGAGAGAAATTAATAGCACTGAATGCCCCCATCAGAATGCTAGAAATATCTCAAATTGACACCCTAATATTATACCTGAAAGAACTAGCAAACCAAGAGCAAACAAACCAAGAGCTAGCAGGAGACAAGAAATAACTAAGATTAGGGCATAACAGAAGGAGATAGAGACTAGAAAATCCCTTTATAAAATAAATGAATCCAGGAGTTATTTTTTTAAAATTAATAAAATAGACTGCTAGCTAGACTCATAAAGAAGAAAAGAGAGAATAATGAAATAGACACAATAAAAATGAAAAAGAGAATATCAACACTGACCCCATAGACATACAAACAACCATCAGAGAATACTATAAACACCTCTAAACAAATAAACTAGAAAATCTACCAAAAAATGGATAAATTTCTGGACACATACACCCTCCCAAGACTAAACCAGGAAGAAATCAAATCCCTGAATAGATTAATAACATTTTCTGAAATCAAGGCAGTGATAAATAGACTACCACCAGAAAAAGCCCAGGACCAGGTGGATTTACAACCAAAATGTACCAGAGGTACAAAGAGGATCTGGTACTGTTATAGGAAATATAAAGAAATTATTTAGGTATACCGTTAGATTAAAGAGAGTCCCCAGGAGAAAATTTTCCTTCTAACAAAAAGCAGATCAGAAATTGATCCCTTTCTAACCACACACAGTTCAAAGACTAACAAAGAGCATTCTGGAAGATCAAGCTGTAAAACAAAGATAAGCAACTCAGGCACACAGGAGGAGCTGCCTAGGTAATTACCAAAGTTCACATACATATGATGGGCTCCAGTAAAAACAGTGGGCCTTAACAAGCACATTCCTTTCCCTTTCTTTAGGCACACTAAGATAGAGAAGCTGGAAGGTTACAAGGTGGGGGAAGTAGTGGGGGATGCCTGCAGCTGCAAGAAGTTTCCTGGAAACAGGCACAGAAACTGCCCCCTTTCCTTTCAGCACATGCAGATAAGCAGCTCAAACTAAGGACCTGCCTGCATGATCAAAGAATAGGGTGGGGGCTGCTAGAAACACTGCTCTATGCAGATGGCCCACCTGGTCCTAATGGGTTCTTCAGTCCCTATAAAGATAAGATGCCCCTACCTCACTATTTATTTATACAAATCCTGATATTTTTACTACAACCTGCAAACTTGTCCAGGACCCCTGTCTGTGACAGAGTTGTTCTTTCTTTTTGCCCATTAAACTCCTGCTCCACTCTCACTCTGTGTGCTGCATCCATGTCCATGATTTCCTCAGCTGTGAGAGCAAGAACCTTGGTACTTACCCAAAACAACAAGGCTGTTTTAGTACCATTCCTTCTGAAACTATTCTAAACAATTGAAAAGAATGGACTTCTCTGAAACTCATTTTATGAGGCCAGCATCATCCTGATAACAAAGCCTGGCAGAGATATAACAAATAAAGAGAACTTTAGGCCAATATCCCTGATGAACATTTGACATGGTTTGGCTGTGTCCCCACCCAAATCTCATCTTGAATTTTCATGTGTTGTGGTAGGGACCCAGTGGGGGGTAATTGAATCATGGGGGTAGGTCTTTCCTGTGTAGTTCTTGTGATAATGAATAAGTCACAAGGGATCTGATGGTTTTATAAAAGGGGGTTTCCTTGCACAAGCTTTCTCTCTTTGCCTGCTGCCATCCATGTAAGACATGACTTGCTCCTCCTTGCCTTCTGCCATAATTTTGAGGCCTCCCTGGCCACGTGGAACTCTAAGTCCATTAAACCTCTTTCTTTTGTAAATTGCCCAGTCTCAAGTATGTCCTTAACAACAGTGTGAAAATGAACTAATACAGTGAATTGGTACCAGTAGTGTGGGGCACTACTGTAAAGATACCCAAAAATGTGGAAGCAACTTTGAAACTGGGTAACAGGCAGAGGCTGAAATAGTTTGGAGAGCTCATAAGAAGACAGGAAAATGTGAAAAAGTTTGAAACTTCCTAGAGACTTGTTGAATGGCTTTGATCACAATGTTGATAATGATATGGACAATGAAATCCAGGCTGAGGTGGTCTCAGATGAAGATGAGAAACTTGTTGGGAACTGGAGTAAATGTGACCCTTGCTGTTTTAGCAAAGAGACTGGGAGTATTTTGTCCCTGCCCCAGAAATTTGTGCAACTTTGAACTTGAGGGAGATGATTTTGGGTATCTGGCAGAAAAACAAAGTATTCAAGAGGTGACTTGGGTGCTGGTAAAGACATTCAGTTTTAAAAGGAAGACAGAGCATAAAAGTTCAAAAAATTTGCAACCTGATGATGTGATGGAAAAGAAAAACCCATTTTATGGGGAGAAATTCAAGCCGGCTACAGAAACTTCCATAAGTAAGGAGAAGCCAAATGTTAATTTCCATGACAATGGGGAAAATGTCTCCAGGGCATGTCAGAGACCTTCACAGCAGCCCCTCCCATCATGGGTCCAGAAGCCTAGGATGAAAAAATGGTTTCATGGGATGGAGACAGGACCCCCCTGCTGTGCAGCCTGGGGACTTGGTGCCCTGCATTCCAGACCCTCTGTGCAGCCTAGGAACTTGGTGCCCTGCATCCCAGCCACTCTAGCCATGGAGAAAAGGGTACAAGCTCCAAGCCTTTGCAGCTTCCATGTGGTGTTGATCCTGAGGGTGCACAGAAGTCAAGATTGAGGTTTTGGAACCTCCACCTGGATTTCAGAGGATGTATGGAAATGCCTGGATGTCCAGGCAGAAGTTTGCTGCAGGGGTGAGGCCCTCACAGAGAACCTCTGTGGAAGGGAAATGTGGGGTTGAAGCCCCCACACAGTGTTACCACTGGTTGCCTGACTAGTGGAGCTGTGAGAAGAGGGCCACCATTCTCCAGACCCCAGAATGGTAAATCCCCTGACAGCTTGCACTGTGTGCCTGGAAAAGCCATAGACACTCAACACCAGCCCATGAAAGCAGTCATGAGAGGAGTTGTACCCTGCAAAGCCACAGGGTGATGCTGCCCAAGACCATGGAAACCCACCTCTTGCATCAGTGTGACCTGGACGTGAGGCTTGGAGTCAAAGGAGATCATTTTTGAGCTTTGAAGTTTGACTGCCTTGCTGGATTTTTGGACACTCTAGATCCTTTAGCCCGTTTATTTTGGCCAATTTCTCCCATTTGGAATGGCTGTATTTACCCAATACCTATACTCCCATTGTGTCTAGGAAGTAACTAACTTACTTTTCATTTTACAGGCTCATAGGCAGAAGAGACTTGCCTTGTCTCAGATGAGACTTTGGACGGAGGGCCTTTAAGTTAATGTTGAAATGAGTTAAGACTCTGGGGGACTGTTGGGAAGGCATGATTGTTTGAAACGAAAGGACATGAGATTTGGGAGGGGCAGGAGTGGAAGGATATGGTTTGGCTGTGTTCCCACCCAAATCTTATCTTGAATTCCCATGTATTGTGGGAGGGACCCCGTAGGAGGTAATTGAATGAGGAGGGCATGTCTTTCCCATGTTTTTCTCATGATGGTGAATAAGTCCTATGAGATTTGATAGTTTTATAATGGGGAGTTTCCCAAAAGGAGCTCTCCCTCTTTGCCTGCTGCCATCCATGTAAACTGTGACTTGCTCCTCCTTGCCTCCTTGCCTTCTGCCATGATTGTGAGGCCTCGCCAGTCATGTGGAACTGTAAGGCTGTTAAACATTTTTCTTTTGTAAATTTCCCAGTGTCAGGTACATCTTTATCGCAGCAAGAAAATAGACTAATACAACATTGATGTGAAAATCCTCAATAAAATACTTGCAAACCGAATCCAGCAGCACATCAAAAAGCTTATCCACCATGATCAAGTTAGCTTCATCCCGGGGATGCAAGGCTACTTCAACATACACAAATCAATAAATGTGATTTATCACATAAACAGAACTAAAGACAAAAACCACATGATTATCTCAATAGATGCAGAAAAAGCCTTTGATAAAATTCAACATCACCACATGTTAAAAACTCTCAGTAAACTAAGTATTGATGGAACATATTTCAAAATAATAAGAGCCATTTATAACAAACCCACAGCCAATATCATGCTGAATAGGCAAAAGCTGGAAGCATTCCCCCTTGAAAACTGGCACAAGACAAGAATGCCCTCTCTCACCACTCCTATTCAACATAGTATTTCAAGTTCTGGCCAGGGCAGTCAGGCAAGAGAAAGACATAAAGGATATTCAAATAGGGAGAGAGGAAGTCAAACTGTCTCTGTTTGCAGATGACATGATCCTATATCTAGACAACCCCATCATCTCAGCTCAAAAGCTCCTTAAGCTGATAAGCAACTTCAGCAAAGTCTCAGGATATAAAATTAATGTGCAAAAATCACATGCATTTCTATACATAAACAATAGACAAGCCGAGAGCCAAATCAAAAATGAACTTGCATTTGCAATTGCTACAAAGAGAATAAAGTACTTAGGAATATTGCTAACAAAGGAAGTGTAAGACCTTTTCAAAGAGGACTACAAACCACTGCTCAAGGAAATAAGAGAGGACACAAACAAATGGAAAAACATTCCATGCTCATGGATAGGAAGAATGAATATCATAAAAATGGCCATACTTTCCAAAGTAATTTGTAGATTCAATGCTATTTCCATTAAACTATCATTGACTTTCTTCACAGAATTAGAAAAACTACTTTAAGTTCATATGGAATCAAAAACAAGCCCATATAGCCAAGACAATCCTAAACAATAACAACAAAGGTGGAGGCATCATGCTACCTGACTTCAAACTATACTACAAGCCTACAGTAACCAAAACAGCATGGTACTGGGACAAAAACAGACACATAGACCAATGCAACAGAATAGAGAACTCATAAATAAGACCACACATCTACAACCATCTGATCTTTGACAAACCTGACAAAAACAGGCAATGGGAAAATGACTCTCTATTTAATAAATGATGCTAAGAAAACTGGCTATCCATATGCAGAAAATTGAAACTGGACCCCTTCCTTACATCTTATACAAAAATTAAATCAAGATGGATTAAAGATTTAAATGTAAAACCCCAAACGATAAAAACCCTAGAAGAAAATCTAGGCAATACTATTCAGGACATAGGCATGGGCAAATAGTTCATGGAAAAAAAAAATCACATGCAATTGCAACAAATTCAAAAATTGAGAAATGGGATCTAATTAAACTAAAGATTTTTGGACAGCAAAATAAACTCTCATCACAATGAACACACAACCTATGGAATGGGAGAAAAATTTGCAATCTATCCATCTGACAAAGGTCTTATATCCAAAATCTACAAGGAAGTTAAACAAATGTACAAGTAAGAATCAAACAACCCCATTAAAAAGTGGGCAAAGAACATGAACAGACACTTCTCAAAAGAAGACACTTATCTGACCAACAAATATATGAAAAAAAGCTCAACATCACTGATCATTAGAGAATGCAAATCAAAACAACAATGAGATGCCATCTTATGTCAGTCAGAATGGTGATTATTAAAAAGTCAAGGAACAACATATGCTGGTGAGGCTATGAAAAAATAGGGATGCTTTTACACCATTGATGGGACTGTAAATTAGTTCAACCATTGTGGAAGACAGTGTGGCAATTCATCACAGCCTAGAACCAGAAATACCATTTAACCCAGCAGTCCCATTACTGGATATATTCCTAAAAGAATATAAATTATTCCATTATAAAGATACATGCACACATCTGTTAATTGAAGCACTGTTCACAATAGCAAAGACATGGAATCAACCCAAATGCACATCAATGATAGACTGGATAAAGAAAACATGGTACATATACATCATGGAATACTATGCAGCCATAAAAAGAAATGAGATCATGTCCTTTGCAGTAACATGGATGGAGCTGGAAGCCATTAGTCTCAGCAAAATAACATAGAAGGAGAAAACCAAACACCCCATGTTCTCACTTATTAGTGGGAGCTGAACAATGAGAACACATGGACACAAAGAGTGGAACAATTACACACTGGGTCCTGTCGGGAGGGCTGGGGAAAAGAGAGCATCAGAATAAATAGCTAATGCATGCAGGGCTTAATACCTAGGTGATGGGTTGACAGGTACAGCAAACCACCATGGCACAGGTTTACCTATGCAAAAAACCTGCATGTCTTGCACATGTATCCTGGAACTTAAAATAAAATATAATTTTTTAAAAAAAGGAAAATTCAGAAATTGTTTTGATAGAGACTTTTGTGGCTTAACAACAGATGTATGTATTCAGTTGATAGTTTAAAATACTATATCCTGTTTTCCTTGATTTGTGAATTAAACTGTGAAAGTAAATTTTTAATGACAATATACATACTATTTGATTTCTCTTTAAACTTAGTCAAATTGTGGATAATATTAATATCTTAAAGTGATATTGACAGAACAAGCTGACTAACCACATATTATTAATATTATTTTAAAACTAAATTTACATAGCATGTTTTATATCAAGTGATTATTGAATAGATTATTTAAAGTGTTTAGAATTTTTAAATAGCCAGTGAAAATAATTTGAAATAATAGATTATAAACACACACAGTGCATTACCTTATGAAAAGCAAGTTACAGACTGAAATAGCTGATTTGGCTTTTTCAGCAGCTTTTTCAAATAAAATATAATTATACCATGATTGATATTCATTTATAAAAAGGATGATAATATTATCACACATTTCTACTTTACTGACATACATCTGTTTTATTATAAATGGGTAATGGTTGTTGTTCAATGCTTTTCTGCATGTTTAGAGAAGAATATATGGTATTCCTTTTTTATTATTTAAACATGGTAAATTAAATTGATTGACATTTGAATGTTAACCTGGAATTTCTCATATAAACCCCACTTTTTAATGCTGCATTATCACTTTAACTTTGCTTGTTTAAATTTGATAATATTTTGTTAAAAATTGCATCAATACTAATGAACAACAGTTGTATACAGTTTTTGCTGTTGTTTTTGTTTAGAATATATATGTCTGGTTTTGATATCTGGATAATGCTGGCCTTATAAAAATAATTGGAAAATGTTTCCCCCTCTATTTTCCAAAGTAGTTTTCTTAGCATTTATATTATTTTTTTCTTAAATATTTCATAGAATTCAACAGTGAAATAGGTTGGGCTTCAAGTTTAATTTGTAAGAATGTTTTAAATAATTCATTTTAATAGCTATAAGTCTATTAAGAAATTTGATTACTTCTTCAGTGTATTTTGGCATTCTGTGTCTTTCAAAAAATTCTCCATATCATCTGAGTGGTAAAATTTAGTGGTTTAAATTATTTTTATTTGTGTTTTTTTAATGTCTGTAGAACCTGTACGTTTATTCTTTCACTTGTGATGTTAATTATGTGTGTTTCTCCCATTTTTCTCTTAATCAGCAAAGGTAGACTGTATCAATTTTTACTGCTTATTTATTTATTTATTTATTTATTTAATTTATTTATTTTGAGATGGCGTTTCACTCTTGTTTCCCAGGCTGGAGTGCAATGGCGCGATCTCTGCTCACTGCAACCTCTGACTCCTGGGTTCAAGTGATTCTCTTGCCTCAGCCTCCCGATTAGCTGAGATTACAGTGACATGCCACCACGCCAGCTAATTTTTGTATTTTTAGTAGAGATAGGGTTTTGCCATGTTGGCCAGGCTGGTCTCGAACTCCTGACCTCAGGAGATCCTCCTGCCTTGGCCTCCCAACGTGATGGGATTACAGGCATGAGCCACCACGCTTGTCTGCTTTTTTTAAAACAAAGCCATCTTTTGGTTTCACATTTGCTTTACTTTATTTTTCAATTTTTCATTTTATGCTCGTTATATATTATTTCCTTACTAACAGTGGATCTCTCAGCAGAAACTCTACTTCTGCTTATTTTGGATTTAATGTGATAATTTTTAGGTTTTGTTGGGGTGGAAACAGATTACTTAAGATTTTTTAAAATTTCTAATACAGCATTGAATGCCACTATTTTCCCTATAATCATTGCTGTAGCAGCATTTCCATACATATTTTTATGTTATGTTTTTATTTCCATTTAATTTGAGATTTTTTATAATTTTACTTATAATTTCCTCTTTGATCCATGGAATTAAAACATTATTATTTAATTTCCTATTATTTGGCATTTTTATCAGATAGTTTTTATTGTTTCCAATTTGACTGCATTGTAGTAAAAGAATCTGTATGATTTCAATCCTTTAACATACACTGGACTTTGTTTAATATCCAGTATATAATCTATTTTCGTGAATATTTCCTATGAAAGTTAAAAGGATACGCACTGTACTTTGTTGTTGTTGGATGGAGTGTCCTATAAATGTCAATTAGTCTTTCATGGTTGATAATGTTGTTCAGGTGTTTTGTATTCTTACTGATCTTTCTGTATACTTGTTCCTATCCAGTACCCAAAGAATAGCATTTGAATTTTCAATATTACAGTGATTTTGTCCCTTTCTCCTTTTAGTTTTAATCAGGCTTTATATTAGTAATTTTGAAACTGTATATTGTGCAGACACATTAGGATTTTCATGACTTCTTGACTGGTTGACTTTTTCATTATATGAAATGACCCTGGTTGACTTTTTCATTATATGAAATGACGCTGTTTACTACTGGAGTTATTTCTTATTCTGAGGTCTAAACATTTCATTTTTATATCAACATTACAGCTTTCTTATGCTTAGGGTTTGTCTTATTTATCATTTTCTATGTTTTTTGGTTTTAAGCAAATCTATTACTGGTTAGAGTCAATTCCTTGTAAACAATATATAGTCAAGTGTTACTTTTTCTAACAGTCTGTTAATCCTGACTTTTCATAGATGTGTTTATAGAGTTTACATTTAATATACTTACTGACATGTATAGATTGAAATTAATCATTTAGTTATTTGTGTTCTATTTATCCCGTCTGTTCTTTCTGCATTTTTCTATTTTCCTGCCTTCCTTTGAATTAAGTAGTTTTCAGTATTTTAATTTAACCACCATTATTTGCCTCCTGCTTATTTTTAGTGACCAATCTTGCATTTATAATATAAATATAATATAAATTAACATACAGATTTTACTTTATTCTTTATGTATAATATCTGACTGTTTAACACTTTATTTTCATTTGCCCTCTTCTGACTATTGTGTTATTATTGTCATGGAATTTATTACCACATATGCTATAAAATACACAATACATTGCTAATGTTTTGTGCTTTGGGTAATTTTATTTTAAAAATTGTTCAATGAGAAAATATATCTTTTGTATGGACCCACAAATTTATTTTTTTCAACACCATTCATTTTTTAGAGCGGATAAAAGCTTCCATCTGGTGTCATTTTTATTCAGTCTAAAGAATGTCCTTTAAGAGTTTATGTAACTCGGGTCTGCTGTGGAGGAATTTACTTTAGGCCCAACGTAGTTTTACTTCTAAGGAACAACACTTGAGGATCTCTACTGAGAGACATCATGTATTCAGAAGGTCTCCCCATGTTGCACTTTTTAAAATTATAAGTTTCATTTTAGGTTTAGGGATACATATGCAGTTTTGTTATATAGGTAAACTGCATGTCATTGGGGCTTGGTGTAGAGATTATTTTAACACCCAGGTAATAAGCATAGTACCCAATAGGTAATTTTTCTGATTCTCTCCCTCTTCCCACCTTCCACTTTCAAGTGGGCCCCAGTATGTGTTGTTCCCCTCTTTGTGTTCATGTGTTCTCATTGATTAGCTCCTACTTGAGAATGTGTGGTATTTGGTTTTCTGCTATTGTGTGAGTTTGCTTAGGATAATGGCCTTTAGCTCCATCCATGTTGTTGCAAAGAACATAATCTAATTTTTTTCTGGCTGTGTAGTATCCAATGGTGCATATGGACCATATTTTTTTAATTTAGTTTACTGCAGATAGGTATTTAGGTTGATTCCATATCTTTGCTATTGTAAATATTGCTGCAATGAACATACATGTTCATATGTCTTTATGGTAGCACAATTTATATTATTTTAGGTATATACCCAAAATGGCATTGCTGGGTTGAACGGTGATTGTGTTTCAAGTCATCTGAGGAATTGTTATGCAGGTTTCCACAATGACTGTACTAATTTACAGTCCCACCAGCAGTGTAAAAGCATGCCACTTTCTTCACAACTTCATCAGCATCTGTTATATTTTAACTTTAAAAAAATAATTGCCGTTCTGACTGGTGTTAGTATCTCTTTTTGCTTTTGATTTGCATTTATCTAATGACTAGTGATGTTGAGTATTTTTTTCATACGCTTGTTGGCCACACATATATCTTCATTTGAAAAGTGTCTGATCATGTCTTTTGCCCACTTTTTATTTTTTATTTATTTTTTTTATTATTATTATTATTTTATTTTATTTTATTTTTGAGACAGAGTCTCGCTCTGTCGCCCAGGCTGGAGTGCAGTGGTGCGATCTCGGCTCACTGCAAGCTCTGCCTCCCAGGTTCACGACCTTCTCCTGTCTCAGCCTCCTGAGTAGCTGGGACTACAGGCACCCACCACCACGCCTGGCTAATTTTTTGTATTTTTAGTAGAGACGGGGGTTTCCCCGTGTTAGCCAGGATAGTCTCCATCTCCTGATCTCATGATCTGCCCATCTCGGTCTCCTAAAGTGCTGGTATTACAGGCGTGAGCCACCGCGCCCGGCCGCCCACTTTTTAATGGGGTGATTTGTTTTTTGTTTTTGTTGTTGTTGTTGTTTTTTGGCTTATAAATTTGTATAAGTGTCTTATGGATTCTGGAATTTAGATGTTTTCTGGATGCATAATTTGAAAATATTTTTTCCCATTGCGTAGGTTGTTTGTTTATGCTGTTGATAGTATCTTTTGCTGTGCAGAAGCTCTTTAATTGAGTTAAGTCCTTTTTGTCAATTTTTGCTTTTGTTCCAATTGCTTTTGGTAAATTCTTCATAAAATCTTTATCAGTTCCTATGTCCAGAATGGTATTTCTTAGGTTATCTTCCAGAGATTTTCGTTTTAGGTTTTATGTTTAAGTATTTAATCGATCTTGAATTTATTCTTATATGTAATGTAAGACAGGGGTCATTTTAATCTTTTGCATATGGCTAGCCAGTTATCCCAGGACCATTTATTGTATAGGGAGTCCTTTCTCTATTGCTTGCTTTGATGAACGTTGTCAAAGATCAGATGATTGTAGGTATGCAGCATTATTTCTAGGCTCTCTATTCTGCTCCATTTGTCTATGTGTATATTTTGGTACTAGTCTCTTTTGCTTATTGTAGCCTTCTAATATAGTTTGAAGTCAAGTAAGATAATGTCTCCAGCTTTGTTTGTTTGTTTCTTTTTGTTTTGTTTTTTGCTTAGGATTGCCTTGGCTATTCAGGCTTTTTTTGTTCCATATAATTTTTAAAATGCATTTTTGCTAATTCTGTGCAGAACATCATTGGTGGTTTGATGGGAATAGCATTAAAACTATAATCGCTTTGGGCAATATTGTCATTTTAACAATATTGATTCTTTCCTCACATGAGACTGGAATGTGTTTTCATTTGTTTGTGCAGTTTCTTATTTCTCAGAGCAGTGTTTTGTAGTTCTTTTTGTAGACATAATTTGCCTCCCTGGTTAGCTGTATTCCCAGGTATTTAGTTCTTTCTATGGCAATTTTGAATGAAATTACATTCCTGATCTGAGTCTCAGCTTGTATGTTGTTGGTGTTCACAAATGCTACTAATTTTTGTGCACTGATTTTATATCCTGAAACTTTGCTGAAGTTGTTTCTCACCTGATGGAGCTTTTGAACCAAGACTATGGGATTTTCTGGATATAGAGTGATGTCATCTTCAAATGAGGATAATCTGGCTTTTTATTTTCCTATTTGGGTGCCATTTGTTTCTTTATCTTTCCTGATTGCTCTGGAAGGGACTTTCAGTATTATGCTGAATAGGAGTGGTGACAGAAGCCATCCTTATCCTTTTTTTTGTTTTCAAGAGGAACGCTTCCAACTTTTTTCCATTCAATATAATGTTGTGTGTGGGTTTGTCATAGATGGCTTTTTATATTTTGAAGTATGTTCCTTTAATGCCAAATTTGAGAGTTTTTAATATAAATAGATTCTCAATGTTATTGAAAGACTTTTCATCTATTTAGGTGATCATGTGGTTTTTATTTTTAGTTCTGTTTATGTGATGAATCACATTTATTGATTTGTGTATGTTGAATCAACCTCACATCCCAGGTATAAAGCCTACTTTATCTTTGTGGACTTGTTTTTCTTGTGCTGCTGGATTCAATTTGCAGGTATTTTTTTGAGGATTTTTGTATCTTTGATCATAAAGGATATTGGCCTGACATTTTTGTTTGTTTGGTCTCTGCCAGGTTTTACTATCAGAATGATGGTGGCCTCATAGAAAGAATTGGGGAGGAGTACCTGCTTGTAAACGTTTTATAATTTTAGTAGGAAATGTTATCAATTCTTTATATATTTGGTTGAATTTGGCTGTGAATCCATCTGGTCATGGGCTTTTTCTGGTTGGTAGGCTTTTTACCACTGATTCAATTTTGAAACTTGTTATTGGTCTGTTCAGAAATTAAATTTCTTTCTGGTTCAATCTTGAGAATTTGTACGTGTCCAAGAATTAATTTATTTTTTCTAGGTTTTCTTGTTTGTGTGCATATAGATGTTCGTAGTAGTTTCTGAGGGTTCTTTGTAATTCTTAATGTCCTCTTTGGCATTTCAAATTGTATTTATTTGTAATATCTCTCTTTTTTATTTATTACTCTTGCTAGTGGTCTATTTTATTGATTTTTCAAAGAATAAACTCCTAATTCATTAATCTTTCATATGGTTTTTCATGTCTAAATTTCCTGCAGTTTGGCTCTGATGTTGGTTATTTGTCATCTTCTTCTGGCTTTGGGGTTGATCTGCTGTTGATTCTTTTAGTCCTTTAGTTGTGATATTGTTGCGGGAAGTCAGGGACCCCAAACGGAGGGACTGGCTGAAGCCATGGCAGAATAATGTGGATTGTGAAGATTTCATGGACATTTATTAGTTCCCCAAATTAATGCTTTTATAATTTCTTATGCCTGTCTTTACTGCAATCTCTAAACATAAATTGGGAAGATTTCATGGACACTTATCCCTTCCCCAATCAATACCCTTGTGATTTCCTAGGCCTGTCTTTACTTTAATCTCTTAATCCTGTCATCTCAAAAGCCGAGGAGGATGTATGTCACCTCAGGACCCTGTGATAATTGCATTAACTGAACAAATTGTAGAGCATGTGTGTTTGAACAATATGAAATCTGGGCACCTTTAAAAAAGAACAGGATAACAGCAATATTTAGGAAACAAGAGAGATAACCTTAAACTCTGACCGCCAGTGAGCCGAGTAGAACAGAGCCATATTTCTCTTCTTTCAAAAGCAAATGGGAGAAATATCGCTGAATTCTTTTTCTCAGCAAGGAACATCCCTGGGAAAGAGAATACATGCCTGGGGGTAGGTCTATAGACGGCCCCCTGGGTGTGGCCATCTTCTATGGTCTGTAGACTGTAGGGGTGAAATAGACCCCAGTCTCCCATAGTGCTCCCAGGCTTATTAGGAAGAGGAAATTCCCGCCTAATAAATTTTGGTCAGACCGGTTGCTCTCAAAACCCTGTCTCCTGATACAGATGTTATCAATGACAATGGTGCCCAAAACTTCATTAGCAATTTTAATTTCGCCCCAGTCCTCTGGTCCTGTGATCTCGCCCTGCCTCCATTTGCCTTATGATATTCTATTACCTTGTAAAGTACATGATCTTTGTGACCAACACCCTATTCGTACACTCCCTCCCCTTTTGAAAATCCCTAATAAAAACTTGCTGGTTTTTGTGGCTTGTGGGGCATCACGGAACCTACCGACATGTGATGTCTCCCCCGAATGCCCAGCTTTAAAATTTCTCTCTTTTGTACTCTGTACCTTTATTTCTCAAACCGGTTCTCATAAAAATAATTAAGACATTGCTTTCGATTTTAGTGAGAAAAATGGTCATAATTGATTGGTATATCTGTCATTTGTTCAAAATAGGGAGTAATACATATGGTGTATTTACTCACCCTGCATTAGAAAGTAATGTATATAAAACTGAACATACTCATCCAAATGTATTACATAATAGAATTTTCCTCCAGTGTCATTTTTGCTCCATTATTTTTCTAAATTTAAGAATTTTAGTAAGTGGTCATGCTATTCTTATGACATCACCAATAAACTCACTTCACACAAAAAGGCAATCACTATAAAATATGAAACGAGTTGATTTGATGTACTACTAAATAACTTTGCCCTCAGATACTCTTGTTCTAAATATTATAGTTTGGTATCTCCATTGGTTCCTTTTCTCAATTTCCCCCATGATTCCTCTTGAATTTATATTATTGTCTTATGCTACTTGTAAAATAATTTCAGTTTGTCTCTTTTGAGTCTATTTATCCCATTTCTCTTCCTCCTACTATTTTTGCTTATAAAATTAAAACAGATATTTAAAGCTCAAATGTTGAGAAGCCATGCAGTTAACATAAGTCTTTGAATTTAACAATACACGCTAAATTATCACCCTCAAGCATAACATATGCCCAGATACTTCGCCTCTTTTTCCAAGATTAGCATTCAATCACTGGGCTATATATAATCCATTTTATGGCCATTTTGCAATGCCTTAACTAAAGAAGTAATTACATTTAGTTATCAAGAAGTTATCTGCCTCATTATAGGCAATGGTCATTGGATAATCTCAGGTGTGATACTTTTGCCCAACTTCCACAGGATAAATTGACATGTGAGAGGATGGACTGGAGTAACTGTCCCAACTAGTTGAAAAAAGAGATAACTAATATTTTTCTTATCTTTTAAAAAGGCCTTTAAGATGTACTTTAACTTATATAATGGGCATCAAAAGAGATACAAGCTTGATGTAAAATGCTTTATAAGGCATATTTTATGCACTTATGTGTTTCTTATTTAAAGGAAAATCTGCATTACTGATATGCTATAAGGTACCCTCCAACACAAGTGGATAAAAGTCTGTTTTGAATGCTTGGAGATACTTCATATGTCTTCTCTTTAGCTCTATGTTTTTCTATTTTTTAAAAGAGTTTATTAGACAGAAACAAAGCAAGAATTAACACTCCAAGTTAACACGCTTTTCTTGGTGCTTTACTATAACATAACTTGCAGATGGTGGGAAGAGGAGGAAATTTTGGATTAGATAATAATATTTACATAGCTCAGGCTTGTATACATTTTACAACATGTAAGCTGTGTTTGTGTTTCTGGTTCAATTAAAAGTATTTTGAAAACATTGCATTTTTTGCTAAGCAATACATCTTGATGGATTAAGTGAAAACATTCAGAAAACCTTATTTGTATTTCATAGTGTTTCTATGACCTCCAGAAAGAAAATTGAAAGTATTTGGTAGTAATTTGTGAAGAATCACTTTTGGATTTTGGAAAGATTTTAATAGCTAGATATAGTGTAGATAAAATATTTCTGTAGAACTGCTATTTCCAAAGAATATCTAGAAGATTTCTGGATAGTTTCAGTAATAATGAAAGAGATAGAAAACTGTTTTTATCCAAAGTTCAAGAAAAATCTATTAAATGTGTATTTTTTCTATAAATAAATAAGATCACTTTTAATAGGCTTATTATATTTTCTATGAAAGCTGATGACCCCAATATGACTATTCTTCATGTGGAAATATAAAATTTGAAAGTTGTGATGCTTTTATATATGTTGATATTTCTAGACTGGTAATCATATATACATTATATATATATATGCAAATATATTTACAACAAGAATTTAAAAAGCAAACATTTTTTTTCATATATGAAAATATACATTGAGAGTATCACCTACTGGTTAGGACATGTGATGTGGAGTTAGACTGTTTAGTTTGAATCCTGGAGCAATCACTCCTTAATTTTGTGACCTTGATCAGGTTGCCTATTTTCTCTATATCCAGTGATCATTGCGTTAAATGAGAAAATAGAAAGCACATAGAAAATAGCTAAAATATAACACAATATTATTATCTATATTTCCATGGCTTCTTTATTATTAGTATTATACATTTCATTTGCCTTCTATCTCCTATCTCTAATATTATTTTTTCCTAATGTTTAGTTCTCACTCAACTATTCTGTGAGCATGTTTTCTCTTCTACCTTTTTTTGCTGCTGAGGCCTCATTAATTGAGCACACTAAAAAAAAAAATCATGGATGTGCACAGTTCAAACTGTTCAAGAAGAGATTTGCAATTCAGTTACAAAAGTGCCTTTTTCTGACAGCCTCTGCTTGTCAGTGTCTTCTGGATGTGCTTAGCGTTTGAGCCATGCCTTTCCTCTTTCCAGGCAGCCCCCAAGCAATAACTGAGCATGACCGGTCTAGGGCCTAGGTATATCTGCCTGATGAGATGCTTCATTAAGGGGCAGTATTTGCTGCAGGTCACTCTATAGGTTTGGTCAAAACCTTTCACCAGAGTCTGAAGAGTATCTACCCAATTTTGCTTCCTCCTGCCTTTCCCTCCATGCATATTCCATCCACATGCAATCATAAGAATATTGTATTTTGCTTCCTTCCCATTGTATCACACCAGACATTGCTACCCCACACCCCCAAATTTCACTTTGACACTCCAAATCTACCTCAGCATCTGCCTTACAGGGTAACTGACAGACAAAATTGGTGACTGAAGTGAACTAAAAAAGCAGTTGATAAGATGAGAATTGACAATTAGTACCTTATTCCAGGAGGTATGTGAGGCATGGAGTCACTAACACAAGACGATGGCTCAGTTTCTCAGACATTCACCAGTGGTGAATTGGGAGAAAGTTTCCAGTGGATGAAATTGTCTTCACCTATGTGATGATTCAGCCTCTTGAAAAGTAAAGATGTTGGGGAAATTATGTGTAAAAGTACAGTAGAATTTGTTGGTTGCATTGATGCTCTACAAGAGTAGTTAATATACAATTAAAAATTAAATCTAAAGACCAAAGGGCCTTTTTGGCAGTTCACCAAGTGGCCCTTATCTCCATAGAGGAAAAACAGAAAAACTACAAACAAAGCTCAGGTATAATAGTTACAGTAACAAAGCTAAAATGGTTACTAAATACATAACTGAGTTCTGTTATGTCAAAGTCTGGAGACTTCTTGAGAAAATCTGAGACCAGGACTCATTGTATTGGGGCAACTGAGTAGCTAGCCATGAAGAATTTTACTGCTTAGGCACCTCTGTTCCTCAGGACCCACAACAGTGACACTGATTTTCATAAGGACTACAATTCCCACCATCTGGGAAGATACTACAGAGCTGTTTTCCCTGGAAGGATACAGTTCCCCTCCAAAACTGCACCTAGATCTTTTGTAGATGCCAGGTCAAGTATTAGGGATGATCCACAGCATAAATCTACTATTGACATTCCATGGGGATACACATAGATTTAGATTTTTAGAGTGCTTGATCAGTGGGGACAGATTATAAGACTAGATAAATAAGGCTATTGACTTTGAGGACCTCTCTCAAGATACAGAATTTATTGCCTGTCAGGTTCCCTAGTAAGGCAAACATACAGCTAAGATAGTCCCTAGAAAATTAAAGAAAGTGGTCATCCATGCTGAGTGAAGTGGAAATGTCTGATTTGTGCTGGCATGTGGTAAAGGAAGAACTAAAGAGCCTATGGAGATGGAAAGTTTGGAATAGATACATTATGTGAAGCCAGAAGACCTAGCAGAGTATTATATTCCACTGGAGGACCCAGAGGACACACCATTCATTGAAGCCACTGAGTATGCACTGAGGAGAGAGGCACTAGCTTTCCTAAGAACTTGAGGGGTGGATCTCCTCTGCAGGCTGGGGCTCAATGTAGGATAGGTAGTCACAGAGCTGGGCTCATTAATATCCATGGGGATGATGTCTTTCACTCCTTCCACCCACAAGTAATAGAGATGAGGTGATAGTAGAGATAGTTCAAAGAGAATGGCATCCCTAGGAGTAACAAGAATATTACTTTATATACATATAAATACATGTATAACAATATACAATTTATATATATATATAAATTGTATATTGTTGTATATTATTCTTGCTTATTCGGTTTTATTTGGAATATATATATATATATATAATTTTTTTCCAAATAAAGGAAAACAGAATAAACAAGAAGCTGAGGGCAAACACCTCACAAAATATCTTGGCTGCTGCCCAATTTCAGGACTTTAAGGAACATAGTTAGCCACAGACTCCAATTTTTTTTTTTTTTTTTTTTTTTTTTTTTTGCTGAGACAGGGTTCTTGCTCTGTCACCTGGGCTGGAATGCAGTGGTGCAATCTTGGTTCACTGAAACCTCTGCCTCCCAGGCTCAACTGCTCCTCCCACCTCAGTCTCCTGAGTAGTTGGGACTACAGGCGCAGCCACGCCAGGTTAATTATTTGTATTTTTTATAAAGACAAGGTTTCACCACGTTGCCCAGGCTGATCTCGAACTCCTGAGCTCAAGTGATCTGCCCACCTCAGCCTCCAAAATGCTGGGATTAAAGGCATGAGCCACCATGCCCTGCCCATGATTCAATATTCTTTTAGAAAAATGTCAGGGAAGACAAAAATACTTCATCTATTGATAAACCATCTATTCTTTTAGAGAAGTGCATTTGTGAAAATAAGGACATGTCTGAGCTAGACAATCATTTTGAAGAAATTGGGGATAACATCAGAAGAAGCAATGCCAAAAGTACCATATACTCCTTCACTGTTCTCAACTATATTTTTATCAGTATCGCGTATCCCGCAGATACGCTCAAGGCCCTAATTAGCCAGTATCTAGTTAATAATGGTCATTTCATCAAAGGATTATGCTGCTTTTTATATCTAGGAAAAATGGGGAGAAACACAATCTATTCAGTCAAAATTTTAAGGACAATTTTCACAGAAAATAGTGTGATTATCACTAGAACCTATGCGCTCCTGAGAGAGCACAAACTAATATACAACAACATCTGGCAAGTTTTACATCTCACTTGGCTTTAATTTAATACTGTCTAACAACAAGAAAAATGGAAGGTATCACTTAAACAGCAAAAGACCAGGTCATTCCAAAATTGTAGGTGTACCCATACCTCTGTTGAAGAATACAGGTCTGGTGGGAGAAAAGGTATGATAATATATGAGTTCAATGGAGAGCTGCTGGCGTAAGTGTCTACAAAGGACTACCTCATGAGTCCGGAAGGCATATATGTTTCTTCTAAGGAAAACATTCTTTATTGCTCTCAAAAATCTTGAGGTTTACCTGTTTGTTGTAGGTTAGTCACAGTGCTTCCTTTCCCACCTTTCTCATTTTTGTTACTTCCACAATTATTTTCCCAAATTTTGGGGCCTCAAACTCCAAAGCCATTTTTTGATTACTCCCTCTCCTTTAATCCTCATATCTAATTAGGGATACAGGAAATATTTACAAAGGCCTGATTTGTCACTCTGTAGTCATGCTGAAAACTCATATGTCCGACTGCATGCTAGTGACCAGTGCCAACACATGACAATGCTTCATTAAGTAAATAGCCGAAACTGAGAAGCCTGACTTGATCTGCAGTAAATGAGGTGATTGGTTTTGAAATAAAACAGCAAGGACTTATTGAAGAAACATTCTGCTGAAACTTCTCCTCCCGTATTGAACTCAATTCACAGGTCTTTAGTGTAATAAAGATTTGCTGCAAGGATATTAACCAGGGATAAAAAGCATATTCTTAGCACAGCTACACTAGAGTCTTATTTTAAAAAGCCTAAGTCACTCCAGAGTATGCAGAAAAATATATCTAAACAGCATGTGTTGTATGGCTTTTTTCTTGAATGCCTGATTTTCCATATAGGGGCTTAATTGAAATTCAAATGTTCTAAACTTGATGAATAAAACTTAATAAACATTTCTTTATTTTATGTAACTGAAGAAAAAAATCTGTCAAGCTGCTAGTCTCCAAAAGCATTGTATCCTACCCCAATTTGTCATATTGAATTTGATCTAGTCTTTTTTTTTTTTCAAAATTCAAATATTATCACAAGCACGGTGTAGATCAAACCTTATTTATTTGATGATAAGATCTAGCCTTTGGGGTTTCTTATTCTTTGAATAAGATGAAATGGTTCTTTGAATGGTTCCATTCAAAGAATAAGAACCATTTGCAGAAACCTGCAATTGTTTCTTTTAAGATAGCATCTGAGAACAAGAGCAGTTTATATATTCTCATAGAATTATGGAAGAGTCATTTGATATCATCTCTCTGTACTCACTGTATTGTTTTTAGTTTACTTGAGCCCCCCTGCTTCTACCTTGCTATGGGCCAAGGCAAAGCTATAATGCTCACCCTTTTAGTAATCTTGGCAGCTGTCTTAGAAAATGAGGACTTTTTGGCTGCTTTCTTTGCATCAGGTAGGAGCTTGAGGCTTTCGCTGAGATCTGTGAACCTAGACCCTTGTCTCAGCTCTAGCTACACTACTGTGTCTGCGCCATATTGAATTCAACAGTGTCAAACACAGGCTTCCAGAATACTCATGATGTGGGCAGAAGAGCTGAATTTTATTATATTTTCAAAACCCATTTGTGTACCTTTATATTAACTTTTGCTTTTTATTTCTTTTTGTTTTATTTTTATTGTGTGCATACACAGTTATAGTAGCTGCAAATATTTAAAGGGTACATGAGATACTTTGATACAGTCATGCAATAAGCAATAATCACATCATGGATAATGGGGTATCCAGCCCCTCAAGCATTTATTCTTTGTATTACAACAATCCAATTATACCCTTTACTTATTTTTAAATATACAACTGGATTATTATTGACTATAGTCATCCTGTTTTGTTATCAAATACTAGGTCTTATTTTCTGTTTCTAATTCTATTTTTTGTTCCCATTAACCATTTCCACTTCTCCCCAAGACTCCCAATACCATTCCCAGCTTCTAATAAACATCATTATACTCTCTATCTCCATGAGTTCAATTGTTTTGATTTTTAGCTCCCACAAATAAGTGAGTACATGCAAAGTTTTGTCTTCATGTGCTTCACTTATTTCACTTTACACAATGACCTCCAGTTCCATCCATGTTGTTGCAAATGACAGAATCACATTATTTTTTACAGCTACATAGTACTCCATTGTGTGTAGGTACTGTATATTCTTTATCAAATTATTTGATGATGAATATTTAGGTTTCTTCCAAATTCTGGGTATTGAGAACAGTGCTGCAACAGACATGAGAGTACAGATATCTCTTCTAGATATTGATTTTTCTTTCTTCTAGGTATATACCCATCAATGGGATTGCTGGACATTATAGTAGTTCTATTTTTAGTTCTTTGAAAAACCTCCAAATCATTCTCCATAGTGGTTTTACTAATTTATTCCCACAAACAATGTACAAGCATTCCCTTTCCTCCAGATCCTCTTCAGCATATATTGCTGACTGTCTTTTGGATAAAGGTCATTTTAATTGGAATGCGATATTTCATTGTAGTTTTGAATTGCACGTCTTTGATTATCAATAATGTTGAACACCTTTTCATATGCTTGTTTCACATTTGTATACCTTCTTTTGAGAAATGTCTATTCAAATTGTTTGCCCATTTTAAAAGTCAGATTATTAGATTTTTTTCCTAGAGTTGCTTATGTTCCTTTTATATTCTGGTTTTTAATCTCTTGTCAGATGAGTAGTTTGCAAATACTTTTTCCCATTCTGTGGGTTTTCTCTTCATTTTGTTGATTGCTTCCTTTGCTGTGCAGTAGCTTTTTAACTTGACGTGATCCCATTTATCAATTTTTGCATTGGTTGCATGTGCTTGTGGGGTATTGTTCAAGAAATTTTTGCCCAGTCCAATGTCCTAGAGAGTTTCTCCAAAGTTTTCTTGTACTAGTTTTATAGTTTGAGGTCTTAGATTTAAGTATTTAATGCATTTTGATTTTATTTTTGTATAAGCTGCAAGATAGGGGTCAAGTTTTATTCTTCTGCATATGGATATCACGTTTTCCAGCACGATTTATAGAAGAGACTGTCATTTCTCCAATGTATGTCCTTGGCATATTTGTGGAAAATTAGTTCACTCTAGGTCTATGGATTTCTTTCTCGGTTCTCTATTATGTTGTATTGACCTATGTTTCTTTTTTTATGCAAATACCATGCTATTTTCATTGCTATAGCTCTATAGTACAATTTAAAGTCAGGTTATGCGATTCCTCCAGTTTTGTTCTTTATGCTCAGGATACTTTTGGCTAATATAAATCTTGTGGATCCATATAAATTGTAGGATTCATTGTTTATGTTTCTGTGAAGAATATCATTGGTAATTTGATAGGGATTGCATTGAATCTGTAGATTGCCTTGTGCAGTATGGACATTTTAACAATATTGATTCTTCCAATTCATGAACATGGAATATCTTTGCATGTTTTTGTATCCTCTCCAATTTATTTCCTCAGCATTTTACAATTTTTATTGTAAAGATCTTTTCCTTCTTTGGTTATTTTCTAGGTATGTAACTTTATCTGTAGCTATTATAAGTGAGATTACTTTCTTGATTTCTGTTTTAGATTGTTTACTGTTCACATAAGAAATGCTATTAAGTTTACATGTAAATTTTGTATCCTGCAACTTCACTGAATTTGTTTATAAGTTCTAATAGCTTTTTGTTGGAGCCTTTAGGTTTTTCCAAATATAACTCCATATCATCTGCAAATAAATATACTACTTTTACTTCTTCCTTTCTAATTTGGATGTTCTTTATTTCTTTATCTTTTCTGATTGCTCTAGCTAAGACTTCTGATAGTGTGTTGAATAACAGTTGTGAAAGTGGGCATCTTTGGCATGCTCCAGGTCTTAAAGGAAAGGCTTTCACTTTTTTCCCATTCAGTATTATACTAGCTGTGGGTCTGTTATATATGGCTTTTATTATGTTGATGTATGTTTCCTCTATACCTAGTTTTCTGATGGCGTTTATCATGAAGGAATTTTGAACTTATCAAATGCATTTTCAATATTAATTAAAATGATCATATGGTTTTTGTCTTTCTGTTGATAATGACACATTATATTGATCAATTTGTATATGTTGAACGACCCTTGCATCTCTGGCATAAATCTCACTTGGTCATTTGAATGATTTTTAATGTATTATCGGATTGGTTTATTAGTAATTTGTCGAGGATTTTTACATCAATAATCATCAGAGATATTGGCCTGTACCTTTCTGTTTTTTGATATGTCTTTGACTGATTTTGGTATCTGTGTGGTACTGTCTTCATAGAATAAGTTTGGAAGTACTCCCTTCTCCTCTATATTTTTAGAATAATTTGAGTAGGATTGATATTCTTTAAATGTTTGTTAAATTCAGCAGTGAAGCCATCAGGTCTGGGGCTTTTATTTACTGGAAGCCATTTTATTATGGCATCAATCTTGTTACTTGTTGGTCTGTTCAGGATTTGGATTTCTTCATGGTTCAAACTTAGTAGATCATATGTGTCCAGGAATTTACCCATTTCCTCTAGATTTTCCAATTTGTTGGCATACAGTTGCTCATAGTAGCCATAATGATCCTTTGATTTCAGTTGTAATGGCTATTTTTTACATCTCTAATTTTATTTACTTGTGCCTTTTCTTGTTTTTCTTAGTTGGGCTAAAGATTTGTCAATTGTATTTATCTATTCAAAGACCAACTTTTCATTTTATCTTTTGTATTGTTTTCTTCATGTTGAATTTATTTATTTTTGCTCCTATTTTTATTGTTATTTCTCTTTTCCTAAATTTGGTTTTGGCTTGCTTTTTCTTTTCTAGGTTTTTAACATGAATTGTTAAATTATTTATTTGAAGTTTTTCTTCTTTTTTTGATGTAGGTATTTATCACTATAAATTTCCCTTATTGCTTTCATTTTATCTCATAGCTTTTGGAATGTGTTTTCATTATCATTTGTTTCAACAAATTTTTCAATTTTCTTCTTAATTTCTTTATTGGCCCATTGACCATTCGGGAACGTCTTGTGTAATTTCCATGTGTTTGTATAGTTTTCAATATTTCTTATTGATTTGTAGGTTTATTTCATTGTGGTCAGATAAAATACTTGATATTATTTTAATTTTTTGAATCTTTTAAAACTTGCATTGTGACCTACCATGTTATCGAGAATAACCCATGTCCTGAGAAGAATGTGTATTCTGCAACTGTTGGATGAAATGTTCTATACATATCCACTGGATTCATTTTATCTATAGTGCAGATTAAGTCCCATGGTTTTTGTTTGTTTGTTTTTTCTTTTTCTGTCTGGAAGGTCTGTCCAATGCTTAAAGTCAGGTCTTGAAGTCTCCAGCTATTATTGTATTGAGGTCTATCTCTTTAGCTCTTATAATATTTGCTGTATATATCTCTGTGTTCCAGTGTTGGGTGCATATTTATTTACAACTGTTATGTCATCCTACTGAATTGACTCCTTTAATGCTATGTGGTGACCTTCTTTGTCATTCATGCAGTTTTTGTCTTGAAATCTATTTTGTCTGATATACATTTAGCTACAGCTGCTCTTTTTTTGTTTCCATTGACATGAAATATCTTTTTCCATCCCTTTACTTTTCACCTATGTATATCTTTATAAGCATTGTATGTTTTTTTTGAAGGCAACAGATTGTTTTGTCTTCCTTTTTTTATCCATTCAGCCATCTCTGTATTTTGATTGAAATGTTTAGTCCGTTTTCTTTTAATGTTTTTATTGATAAGTAAGAATTTACTCCTTCCATTTTGTTATTTGTTTTCTGGTATGTTTTATGGTCTTCTCACTATTCCTGTCTTCCTTTTAGTGAAGGTGATTTCCACTGCTGGTATTATTTAATTCCTTGCTGTTTATATTTTGTTTATCTATTGTATGTTTTTCAATTTGAGGTTACCATGAGGCTTGCATATACTGTATTATTTTTACTGGTGACAATTTAACACTGATTGCATAAACAAACAAGTAAGAAGACAACTAATAAAAAGTCCACACTTTAAGTTTATCCCCACCTCCAGTTTTTAACTTCTTATTTTTTCTCTTTATGTCTTATTGCAATGTTTCTTGAAAAATCAGTTATTATTTTAATTGTTTCATTATTTAGTCTTTCTACGTAAGAGTGTTTTACACAGCAAAATTACAGTGTTATAGTATTATGTGTTTTACCCTGTGCTATTACCAGTGAGTTTTGTACCTTCAGATGATTTTTTATTGATCATGAACATGCTTTTTTTCAGATTGCAGAACTTCCTTTAGCATTTTTTATAGGACTGGTCTAGTGTTGATGAAATCCCTCAGCTTTCCTTTGTCTGGAAAAGTTTTTCTTTCTCTTTCATGGTTGAATAAGGCTTTTGCTGGACATACTATTCTAGGATAAAAGTTTTTTTTCTTCATCACTTAAATAAGTCATACCACTCTCACCTCTCCTGTAAAGTTTCCACTGAAATGTCTGCTGCCAGATGTATTGGAACTCCATTGTATGTTATTAGGTTTTATTTTTTTTCTCTTGCTGCTTTTAGGACTTTTTTTAAACCTTTGACATTTGGAAGTTTGATTATTAAATGCTTTGAGGTATTTCTTTTTGGGTTGTGTTCTATTACTTTCTTGTACTTAAATATGGATGTCTTTCTCTAGGTTTGGGAATTTATCTGATATTATCCTTTTGAATAAGCTTTTTACTGCTCTTTTTTTACCTTCTCTGTAAGACCAGTAACTCTTAAATTTGCTCTTTTGAGGTTATTTTTTAGATCTTAGATCTTTAGGCATGCTTCTTTTAATTTTTTTTTATTTTGTCTCTTCTGACTATGTATTTTCAAACAGTCTGTCTTGAAGCTCACTATTTTTTTCTTCTGCTTGATCAATTCTGTTAATAAGAGACTGATACATTATTCAGTATGTCAATTGCATTTTTCAACTCTAGAATTTCTGCTTGATTCTATTTATACATTTTAATCTCTTTGTTAAATTTATCTGATAGATTTCTGAATTCCTTCTCTGGGTTATTTTGAATTTACTTGAGTTTTCTCAATTTGCTATTTTGAATTCTCCATCTGAAAAGTCACGTATCTCTGTTTCTCCAGTATTGGTCCTTGATGCCTTATTTAGTTTGTCTGGTGAGGTCATTTTTTCTTGATTGGTCTTGATGCTTGTAGATGCTCATTGATGTTTCAGCATTTAAGGGTTAGGCACTTATTGCAGTCTTTGCAATCTGGGCTTGTTTGTGCTTCTTAGGAAGGCTTTCTAGGTATTTGAAGAAACTTGGGCCCCAAACTCAATAATGCTGTGGTTCTTGCACATTCACAGTGACACCGCCTTGCTGGTATTGTATAAGGATTCAGAAGAATTCTCTAGATTACCATAATGCAGAATCTCTTGTTCTCTTACCTTATTTTCTCCCAAAAAAACAAAGTGTCTTTTTCTCTCTCTCTGCTGAGCCCCCTTGAACTGGGAATATGGGGACATAAGCATTGCTGTGGCCACCACCACAGGGACTCTGCTGGTTCAGACCTAAAGCAAACACAGCACTGGGACTCTCTCAAGGCCTCCTGTAACCACTATCTCACTACCACCTAAGTTAACTCAATGCCCTAGGGCTTTATAGTTAGCAGTTGGTAAAGCCAGCCATGTTTGTGTCCCTTCCATCAGGGCTGCAAGTTCTTCCAGGCCACCGTTGTGTCTAGAGATGTTGTCTGGGAGCCAAGTATTGAAGTAAAAAGCCTTGGAAATTTACCTGGAGTTCTATTCTGCTGCAGCTAAGCTGGTACTTAAACCACAAGACAAAGTCCTTCTCACTCTTTCTTCCACTTTTCATAGGCAGAGGAGCCTCCCGCTGTGGCCAGCACCACAACTGATTCACAGAGGGTACTTCCAGTCCACTGCTGATGTTCACTTAAATCCCAAAGACTCTCAGTCACCTTTTGATGAATACTACCAAGCCTGGAATTTACCCTTCAGGGCAGTGGGCTCCCCTCTGGCCCAGGTAATGTCCATAAACATTGATGAAGAGAGTCTAGGCCTGGACTCAGGGACACCAAGAGTGGTGGTGCTCTACTACTATAGCTCAAGTGGTACCCAAGGTACATGACAAAGTCCTCATTACTTTTTCCCCAGTTTTTCTCAAACAAAAGGAGTCTTTAATTACAGCAAACATTGCTGTAAATCTGCTGGGTTACATCTTAAGCCAGCACTTCTCAGAGCCCAAGGCCCATAGCATATTAACTGGGTATTGATGTTGATTATTTTGGGCCCAGGGTCTCTTTAGTCAGGAGGTGATGAATCCTGCCAGGTATCTTCTTTGACTGGGAAGCCGCGAGTTCAATGCAAAGTCCGCCAGTCACTGTGCTCTCTCTGTACCAAGAGTCCTGATTTATCTATGCCTTGTGGCAACTACCACTGAGTGAAGTAGGAATGGTGCAAGCATTCCCTCAGCCACCCTAACTGGTCTCTCATTAGTGTTCCCCTAGCCCACAGCCTCTGAGTCCAGCTTAGCACTATGACTTGCTTAGGAATTGCTGTCTTTGTGGGCTTCAAGTTTACTTAGAGCTCCAGGGTACTCCAGCTGTCAGTGGTGAAGCTTGCCGGAACTCAAACTCTGAGTGATGAGATGGCAATTCCCCTCTGACTAGGGCTGGTCCAACTGTTTCCTCCATTGGAGGATATCAGTTGAGTACAGACCAGTTCTCTTTTCTCCTGTGACAGCGCAGAACTTAGTTCAAGGTGAAGCCTCACAATTGCTGCACTCTCCCTCTGCCAAGTGCACAGGTTCTCTGCACTGCACAGCTATTGCCATGGGATGGGAAACAAATGATGTTGGTGATTTAAGATTGTCTTCCCCGCTCTTTTCAGTGTGTCTTTCAGTGATATGAAGTTAAAACCAAGTACTGTGCTCGTTCACCTAATTTTTATTTCTTCTGATGGTGCTTTCTGTGTGAAGTTGTTAAAATTTGGTGTTTGGAGGGGGAGCAGGGCAAATGATGTAGGCTACTATTCATTTATCTTTCTCTGCCTCTTTTTCTTTTATTTTAACCTTAAATCGTAACCTAGGAAATTCACAGCTGAAATTCTATATTATATTATTTTCTTCCTCCTTGTTTCTATTTTTTTTTTTTTTTTTTTTTTGAAGACAGAGTCTCACTCTGTTGCCCAGGCTGGAGTGCAGTGGTGCAATATTGGCTCACTGCAACCTCCACCTCTCAAGTTCAAGCCATTCTCATTCCTCAGCCTCCCGAGTAGCTGGGACTACAGGTGTGGGCCACAATGCCCAACTAACTTGTGTATTTTTAGTAGAGACGGGGTTTCCCCATGTTGGTCAGGCTGGTCTCGAACACCTGACCTCAGGTGATCCACCCACCTTGGCCTCCCAAAGTGTTGGAATTACAAGCGTGAGCCACTGCGTCCGGCATTCCTGTTTCTATTTCTACATCTCCACGTTCTTTCTCCAACTATCAGAGAGGCCATACTTCCAGAGTGTGACAATCTTCTTTACTTCACATTGTCATCTTTTTGGTTCTGTGGTTTACTCTGGTAAAATTACAGCTTTGAGAATGTCAAGAAAGGCTTATAACTTAAGCTGAGCAATAACTTTTATGCACTTACAAGAATTTAGCATCATTTTCCTTCTTCATGGAAGGACTATTGATGAGAAAAACAAAAACAAACAACAATGTCTTCATTTGTACCATAAACTAGGTGGCTTATAAACAACAGAAATTAGTTTTTCACTGTTTTGGGGCCTTGGAATTTCAAGGTCAAGGGGACAGCAGATTTGCTGTCTGATAAGGGCCTGCTTTCTTGATCACAGAAGGGGCAAGGCAGCTCTTTGGGGGCTTCTTTTTTTATATAAGGGGACAAATTCCATTCATGAGGTTCCTGCTCGCATGATTTAATCATCTCCAAAAGGCCTCACTTCCTCACTTTGGGAATTAGATTTCAAGATTTTTGGGGAGACACAAAATTCATGCCAAATCAAACAGTAAGAATGACCAAAGTGGAGAAATACATCAGACCTTATCTCTATACCTATGTTTGTAAATCTATACAGTTTTATTTTATTTTCATTGACTCTTGTGATCTGTTTCTATATTTCTGAGCCAGACTGCCTTAGTCTAATTCTGGTTTTATCACTTGTAAGTATATGCTTTTCAACTAGTTAATAATCTCCCAATGCCTCAGTTTCCCATTTGTAAAATGGAAATACTAATAGTATCTGCATCATAAGGTTGTTGGAAAGATTACCTGGGTTAATATATGTACCTACATGTAAAACTTTAGAGCAGTATCTAGCATATAGCCAGCACTAGATAAGAATCAACCTTTCAAATCTAAAATGTGTGTGTTTATATGTTTGTATTCATGTACATCCTATGGTGATTAGTAATTGAGGAATTATTTAAAGATAACTTATACAAAATCACTGATTTTAAATCTAGTGTTTTCAATAGCAAAGACTTGGAACCAACCCTAATGTCCATCAATGATAGACTGGATAAAGAAAATTGGCACACATATACCATGGAATACTATGCAGCCATAAAAAAGAATAAGTTCATGTCCTTTGCAGGGACATGGATGAAGCTGGAAACCATCATTCTCAGCAAACTAACACAGGAACAGAAAACCAAACACTGCATGTTCTCACTCATAAGTGGGAGCTGAACAATGAGAACATGGGCACAGGGAGAAGAACATCACACACTGGGGCCTGTTGGTGGGTGGGGGGCTAGGGGAGGGAGAGCATTAAGAGAAATACCTAATGTAGGTAATGGGTTGATGGGTGCAGCAAACCACTATGGCACGTATATACCTATGTAACAAACCTGCATGTTCTGCTCATGTATCCCAGAACTTAAGTATAATTTTAAAAAAAGAAAAAGAAAGAAAGAAAAAAATCATACAGTGACACTGGATTAAATATATATATATATATTTACTTAAAAATAAAAATAAAAATAAAATCTGGTGTTTTTACTTATTTATTTAAAATTACAATTGTAACTCCCAATTGGATAAGGGCACTTTTTCTGATTAAAAAAGTGAATACGTGTTTTCCCAGAAAGAGCAGGCACAACAAGGTTACATAGGCAGGAGTGGAAAAGGAGGCACTTTATATAGAATTAATAAGTGGGGTGCCTTGAAGTCATGCTTTCTAGAGGACAGGCAGATAGGAATTAACTAATTTTAAAAATATTGTGCATACTGCTAGTTATCATAGAAGAACAAGTTCAAACAATGATATCTCAAGTATCAGCTTATCACTATAACATTAAGGAATCAAAGTACAGAAGAAAACAGAAGGACAAAATCTGTTCTAGTTCAGAAATATAACATAGGGATTTAATCATGTTTTCTTATGTAACAACTAATAATTTTTGTAACACTAACTGAGGATTTTGCAAAATCCAGTACTATGATATTGTAAAAATAGCTTGATTATTTATAACTGTGATTATATTCACTTGAATGAATACCCCATTTTAGATATTTCCTTTTTAATTAGAGAGTAAACAATGCAAAACAAAAATCATCAAATTTGGTTGTATGTGGAATTAAAAATACCTTATACTTGAGAGAACACAGTAGCTAAAATTAATCTCCTTGCTAATTTTAAAAATAAATTATATTCAAATTAAATTCAAATGTCCTATGTTGGGTATGGCTTTTAATGGAGGCATTACTTTCGGATGTCCAGACCATAAATATTTTCTTTAAAAACTTTTAATCAACCCTGAGATACCAAGAAGAATAAAATTTATTTTTTTCTGTGACAAACTGAATTACAGATGTGTTTATTTGCATTAGTGGGTGATAAGAAAAAATAGCTTTCAACACCTTAGAAAACACAAGTATAGTTACAAGTGCCCCAAATAAATAAATTAAAGAAAAAGCATTTCAAAAACAACGTGAATTATAATGAAGAGACAGGAATATTGAGTGAATTCAAGATGTGGACCCAGAAAATCTGAGACAGGTCTCTGTTAATTTAGAAAGTTTATTTTGTGAAGGTTGAAGACACGCCCATGATACAGCCTCAGGAGGTCCCGATGACATGTGCCCAAGGTGGTCAGAGAACAGCTTGGTTTTTTACATTTTAGGTAGACATGAGACATCAATCAATATATGTAAAAACCACATTGGTTCTGTCTGGAAAGGCAGGATAACTTAAAGCAAAGGCAGGAAAACTTGAAGTGGGGAGGGGGCTTCCGGGTCACAGGTAGGTGAGAGGCAAAAGTTGCATTCTTTTGGAATTTTGGATTAGCCTTTCCAAAGGAGGCAATCAGATATGCATTTATCTCAGTGAGCAAAGGGATAACTTTGAATAGAATGGGAGGCAGGTTTGCCCTAAGCAGTTCCAAGCTTGAATTTTCCCTTTAGCTTTGTTATTGTGGGAGCCCAAGATATTTTCCTTTCACAAAAATAACGTTGTGCAAAATGTCTTTCAGAAACAATATGGGTTTTATATGTGTAAGTAAAAAAGAGCATATAGTATCAGAGATTATCTTTTGCCTCCATTAAATATTTCCAGTTGGAGATTTTCTTTACTTTGCCCCTGCCTCTATATTTTCTATCAACTCCTTCTGCCAGCCTCATGAATATCTGTGCTCCATATTCTAATTATACGCTCTGCTCCAGGTGAAGCCCCTTATGCATATTATTGATGTCCATATTACTAAGATCAGTAATCGGTTTACCTAGAACTTATTTATACATTTATATCTACACTTTAATGAATTTTGTTCATTTACCCAGTTATGCTGTTTTCTTATGAACCATAAAGCTCAGAAATATGGAGCAAAGAAAAGATGATGGTAGAAATAAAAGTGCTTCCCCGATAGGTATTTTGATTCCTCCTATCTTGTTCTTAGATCTGTTAGCAAGTGTTCCCTAAAATCTCCAACATTCAATACTCTCACAAGCTTATTTTAAACAGTCTTCACTTCTGACCTGTAAACAGAAAAAAAAATTGCGAGAGAAAAATAATTCTAAACATTCTTACTTTAAACATGCATTGTTGTTTCTCAGATGAAGTTCTTAGAATCATAATTTGCAGAAGAGTTTATCTTAAAACTTTAAGCTATCATATTGATCATATCTCATTAAAAACACATTTTCTTTCAAAGTCTTGAAATGCTAGCAAGCTTGTAGGTTCATATTTTACTTTATCTTATTCCCTTTGAACTCTCCCAAGTAATTTAATTTCTTAAATTCACCTTGAGCAAACTATTTTTTGCTATCTGCCAGAAAGCAGCTACCATAATCCAAGACCATGGTGGGCAATGTGATTTCTCTAAAGATAAATTCATTCTTATTATCTGATCACCTCTGGAGGATGAATTCCCCATGCTGTATGAATCTAGAATATTATTCATTAAACCTATTGAGCCTGCAACATGATCAAATACAGGTAGTACCTGTATAAAACCAGTGGAACTGTTGGAGTCAGGAAAATATAGTTCAGTTCACCACAGGATATTCCAATGACTATAAATTAATCAGCTTGCCTTTAGTACCTCCTCCAGATCCCAAGAGAGACAATACAAAGTAGGCAAAAATTGATTTGGGCCTAAGTTTAGAAATATCTCATTTTTGGTAGATTCAAACTTTGTAATGGTAGTTTAAAAAGACGTTTTCACAATTCCCATATTTCTAAAATAATTTTAGACTTATCTGAATTTTTGTATTTAAATATCTTGAAGTTCAGAATTGAGGATTATTTGACTTAGGTTAAAATTTTTATTTATACCACCTATATAGTAGAGATAATTCAAAGCTTCTTGTCAGGGTTTTAGATTCCAAGCTTATGCTGCTGCTGACTCAGTGACCAGAGAGAGTTTCTTAAACTTTTCAGCCTCCATTTTCTCATGCATAAAATAAGTAGTATAGCAGGAGTGATACTTTAATTATTTAACAGCCAGTATTATATAGGCACTGGCCAATAAACATAATTTCAATCAGAATAGATACTAGCCAACAGGTGTAAATCAGGTTAAGTCAGCTGGCTTTATAAATTGTATTCAAAAGGAAGTCATTATACTAAGGCTAGAAATGAAGTTTCATCTCCTATGACATATTTTACTTATTGTGAATGGCTTCTTAAAATAGTATGTTGAGAGGAACAGTGAAGTCATATTTGGCTTCTGAGGAGAGATATTGCTCTGATAAATTAGCCACATTTTCCAGATGTATAGGAAAGTGAAGTGGTGTTTGTAGTGCTCTATTGTAACATTTCTGGTGTTAAAAACTTGCTTAGAGGCTGCTTAATCTTAACACACAATTCTAGCTTATTTGGTTTCTGAGATTAGAGCACAGTGTCAACTGAGAGTAATATCACGCCTCAGGAGGTGTTTAGAAATCTGGAGTTGTTAAGTAGCTAAGGGCTAATAATTTTTAATATTCTGTAAACTTTTAGATAGCCCCACACACCTGAAAACATTGTTTTATCCTAAATGTCATAATGCCCCCTGCTGGTCAACACTGCTATAGTTTAATAGAAGTTTAATAGAAGAAGCAATACAGAAAATAAGGAAGGGGGCTGCTGTAAGTTTATATAATGACTTTCTTGAAAAGTAGCACTAATAGGAAGAGAAAAAGCAGAAAAAAATACAATGAGAAAACATATACAATAAATCAAAATGCACAATATAAGATAATTTAATATAAGCACATTAGTCTACAAACATTGGCAAGTCCTTGAAATAGTACATTATTACAATACTGGAGAATAATTGATTATCACATTGATTGTCTTGAGTTATCAAATGATTAATTTATATATGTGTAAGGTAAGAGTATAGAGTAGTTTGTAATACATCTTCCAACAAATTTCATGCAAAACGAGTAACAGACATTTTAAAAGGTTTCGATGTTTCAAAGAAACTCCAGAAAATATGGTCATCTACAATTGCTCTTCATTTTGCAGAGGAGTTTGTTAAAAAATGAATTGATTCCCTACTCTTGTTCACACCTCAAATCACTACAAACTTGCTTTCACTCTATTTATCTGAATCTGCTTTCACCAAGTTACTAATAAACTCTCTAGAGCTAAAGGCAATGGACAATTCCTATGGAATGATTCCAACATTTGATACTTGTGAAAGGAAAATAAATCTTGGGATTTCAAAATCACTAAGCCAAAGGGGAAAATCAATGTGGGAACTGGAAATCTATCTCCCATTTTATTCCTAAATAAGATACTTATAAAGATAGAATAGCTATATACCTCCCTCACAATTTTCCCACTAGGAAATGCCTTGTGAGTCTCAAGATCTTTATCTAAAATGGTTCTGTTGAATTTTACCCTGACAATATAAATTGATAGCTTATCTTCACAGGTGCAACACAAAAGATAGAATGCTGTATTCTGTCTGCTCACCTGAGACAAATGTATATCTGATTACTTCCTCTGATATAAAAATGCAGATTTACTGAGCCAGACAAAGGCATAAGTGACTATGCTACACCTCTCTCGAATTTAAATTGTGTATTCAGTGAAAGGCTAATCCAAGACTCAAAAGAATGCAACTTTTTTCTCTTATCTACCCACAACTTTTTTAACTGTCTTCCTCTTTCCCCATATCCACCCTTTACCCTATAAATATTAAAGCCCTCAAAATCATCTTTGGAGACAGGCACAGACATGCTTCTCAGGCATGCATCCTTAACCTTGGCAAAATCTTTCTAAACTGACTGAGAGCAGCCTCAGATACTTTTGGTTTACATACTATTGGCCTCTTCTTTCTGCCTGAGATATCTTTGTCCTTGATTTCAACATCATTATTCTTTTGTTATTTTTTAATTAAATTCTTGGTTCTCTCATTCTCTATCTCCATTGTGAGTGCTTTTTGTATCTGCCACAGAATTAACCATGAACCTCTCTTCTCCTTTTACTTTTGTGTGCTTTCTGGGCAATATTATCCATTGATGCTTCAAGTAGCACTTACATATTATAATTCACATCTTCATTTTGAGTCTTAACCACTCTTCTGGACTCTACTAATAAAAGCTTAAGTCTCCTCATATCTAGATCTTTACTTCAACTGCAGAGGCATAATCCAGAGACCACCTTGACATGTCATATGTCTATGAAAGTTGTGTAATACAATAAATAGTAACTTCTTAAAGAACTGAATCACCTAATACTTTGTAAGCCAATGTGGCTTGAAAACCTCTTATAAATTTTAGTTAAAAAACAAGAATGACATCAATGGAACAACCTTTCCAAATATATCAGCTTCTTAGAGCTTTCTGACATTTCAGCCATGTATTAGTCAAAGTGACATGATATTTAGAAGAAGATTTGTTTATTTCAGGCTTTGATAATTTCCTGTAAACTAACTGGCATTTGGCATCACATAGCTGAAAGGGGCATCAGTTTAAAGATTACAGGATAAATCATTTGGGAACATTAGTCACTTTCTGAGTCACATAGCTATTTACGTAATTCTATAAATGTATTTCTAATAACTACCTGTTCAATGAAAATATTATCTAACTCTGGTTTCCTTTTATGGATTGATAATTACTCTATAATATCTTAATAATTAGGTAGCTAATATGCTATCATGCTATTTCCTTTTGCATATATTTTTACCTTTTATGAAATAGATTTCCTCCTTATGTACAAATTTATAAGTGCATAATCATAGGCAAGATGTGACTTTACTGACTAAATCTGGTATCTACCTTTTTTAACTGCCTGATATTTTGTAAATTTATTTTTTACTTACATACTGTGATGGTTAATATTCAGTGTCAACTTGATTGGATTGAAGGATGCAAAGTATTGTTCCTGGGTATTTCTGTGAGGGTGTTACCAAAAGAGATTAACATTTGAGTCAGTGGACTGGAAGAGGCAGACCCACCCTCAATCTGGGTGGGCACCATCTAATCATCTGCCAGTATGGCTAGAATAGAGCAGGCAGAAGAAAGTGGAATAAAGAGACTTGCTGAGTCTTCTGGCCTTCATCTATCTCCCATGCTGGATGCTTCCTGCCCTCGAACATCAGACTCCAAGTGCTTCAGCTTTTGGACTCAGACTTATACCAGTGATTTGCCAGGGTGAAGGCTGCATAGTCAGCTTCCCTCCTTTTGAGGTTCTGGGATTCAGACTGGCTTCCTTGCTCCTTAGCTTGCAGAGTGCCCCGGGGATTCACCTTGTGATTGTGTGAGTCAATACTCCTTAATAAACTCCCTTTCATATATACATAAACCCTATTAGTTCTGTCCCTTTAGAAAACCCTAATACACATACTTATTATTTACTTATTTTTTTCAGTGTCTTTTGGAAAGGATGTCATGAGAAATTTCATATTTATTGCTAACTTGCATGTTGCCAGAAATGTCCTAAAATTGTTTTACAGATTTTTTATAATCTTTGTCTACTTTTGTTGTTGTTTTTCTGCCTAGCTAGTCATTAAATGCACAAATTTATAGGCTGTAATATATGTTTATTGGTCAAAATTGAAGTACTAACAATTACAACCCGGTAGTTCTAAAAGGCTATTCTAGTGACCTAACATCATAAAAACTATTTGTAAATAGTTTCTCAGTTGACTTTCTGACTCATACCTCATTGGCTGTCTTTTCTCACTCTTCTTGGCTATATACTCTTTCTCTTGCTGCTTTGAATGTTTAAGTGTCCCAAGGTAGAGTTCTAGGACTTCTCTATCTACATTCATTTACTAGGTCATCTAATTCAGCCCCATGGTTTACAAAACACCCTGTCTTCATGATTCCTGAATTCATATTTCCAGAACAGACCCTGCCCTTGAAATTCACATTACAATATTCAACCGGATACCCAAAAGCTTCAGTTATACATATAAAAGTGACTTTAAATTTAACTTATCTGCAACTAAATCTTTGATTTCCTTCTAAATTTGCTCTGTTAACAGGTTGTCAAAGTTCAGTAAATGATATTATTAACTCATTCAGGTTGTCAGGCCAAAACATTTGAGAAGATCCTTGACCCCTTTCTTTTTCTCATCCCCCAAATCCAGTCCATTCTCAAGGCCATTGGGCTCAGCCTTCAAAGTGTATCACAAATCTGATTACTTGTCACTACCTCCACTGTTACCACCCTAACCCAAGCCACCATCATATTTTACACAGAAAACTTCAAGAGCCTCCTAACTGTTCTTCCGTTGCTTACTCTTGACCCTCTTGACTATCTATTTTCAACATAGCAATTACACCAATCACGTTAAAACATAAGGCTTTCAGTATCTGTGACACAATAGGTTCTCTCACTGTAGGCCCTTGGAACATCGTTTTTATTATTTGAAATATTATTTACCCCAGTCATGTTCTATTGGTTAAAAGCTGTACTTCCCTTGGCTGTCAGCTTGGCATCTGTATTAGTCAATTGTCCAGAGGGACAGAACTAATAGAACATATGTATATGTGAAACGTAGTTTATAGAGAGAATTGGCTCACACAATCACAAGGCAAAGTCCCATGATAGACCATCTGCAAGGTGGAAAAGAAAGCAGCCACTAGTAGATTTGTCTGAGTTAAGACTAACAATTTATTGTATTATCTCTAGACTTTTTTTGTTAAGGAAATGGGAAAAGAGATAAATGGTGTGCCATGAATTGAAGACTATAATATTTCAAATAACCAACTTTCCCACTTCCATTTCCAAACATAACCCCATCTGAAAGTTAAACATATCCTTCCTTTATAGACAATCGAACCTCTATTATGTTCCATTAGTTAAAATTCAAAAGTATAATTGCCTTTATGTATAGTTCATTGTGGACAAAGTATCGTCTTGTATATATATGCCAATGAATGGATCCTGAGACATCTAATGAATTCTTGCCATTTTGAATATAGAAGCCATATATTATGTTATTTTTTTACCTTTATAAGAGCATGACATTTATAAAAACATTTAATCTAGTATGAAAACATAAGGTAGAATGCTGGTCCATTCCTTTGTTATAATTGTTTGCTTTGAATCTCAGATTAAGTTAATTACATTTTTCATTTCATAGTGTACTACTGTTAATACATGAATTACTCTTCTATTTACTATTAACATTTTCTCTTTCTTACCGTGTTCTTTCAATCTACCCTCCATAAGACTACTTACCTATTGAAAAAACCTCTAGAAAAACCAGTGTTTTAGGAAATAAGCATTTTTTTTTACTTTACTTAAATGATTTCATGCTTTGATCTTTATTTTTGCCAACTTTCAGTGAGTTCCTTGTAATATTCTAGAGATTATTAATGCTTTGCCAGTGATTAATATTGCAAATATCTTCTCCCACTCAACCATCTTTCTCTTAATTTTGATTATGGCATCTTTTGCAGAATAGATATCTTGAGTTTAACATAGTCAAATCTAATAATGTTTATCTTTATGTTTGGTGCTTTTAAGGCTTTGCCAATAATAACTTTATCCATGTCTTCTTCTGGAATACAGGCTCTTCAGGTTTTTATTGCATGTTCCTTTACATGCCAAAGAAACTGACCTTGGCTTTTTCTGTTCTCACAGCAGGATCACAAAACTCTTGACAGGTCCTCTGTGCCTTATCGATCCACAGACACCATAGAGACATCTTTAACATCCTGCCAACTCCACACTCTTTCAAAGTTCTACTCAACAATTTATCAAACTAGTGTCCTCCCCCATAAATGTCCTACAGTTCACACAAAAGACACTAGCCTCTTGAGGGAGGCCTTTACAATTTTCATTGACATCAGTCCTTTCAAGTTACTCCATGCAGCTAAAATAAAGCCATCTTTTCTCAATGTGTTACCATGTAACCTAAGAGAACCTTGCCCCTGCTTGTGGTCTCCTTTCCTTTACAGGGTTCACTCAATATAAGCTTTCTCCATAACTCACAGACTTACCCACTAAGATAGGAAGGGTATTCCTACATGTGCACATAGCTGACCAAAGATGTGATCTCTGAATCTCAAGTAGTCTTCATTCCCTTTAAGCTGATTGATTGAACAAAGGAAATAGACATCACATTCTAGGCTCTTTCAATTTGAAATTATATGACTTAACATATCACAATTCCCATAAATGTATTTCATTCACATTTTATCGAATTAACAATAGTAGCTCCTACAATTATGCATAACTAGTTATTTAGCAGGGCTCCAATATGGTATACAAGTACAAACAAAATTGGAACTTAAGCTTACGGAGATCTGAAAGTTCCCTTGGGTTAACCTTTTAAGGAAAGAGATTATGCAGGATTACTTTCAAAGGGACTTCAACAATTTCACTTAAACATTTCATTTTTGTTTGAAATACTTCTTCCATGCCCTTAAAAAAATAGCACTTGAACATAAATTTAATTTATTTAGTAAGGCTATTTTTACTTCCTGCAGAAAGGGTACACTTGCCAGAAGTTTTGCCATGACAGTACACTGAACAAAGGAGACGACAGGGTCATTTATAACCTGACGCGTCCACCCTACTGCTGTGTCCGGTTTCCATTGGCTGGAAGGAGACCTCACATTCTGTGTTTGTCCCAACTGGCTAGCAACTTAGAACTTTTTAAAAGAGGCAAAAGGAGAGGAGAACAAAGGAAGGAGGAAGTAACTTGTGGAATGCTGAGAAGGGTAAAAACACTTTTAAGTAAGGAAGAGGAACAGGCTATGACCTAATGCTTGCTTGGACCAGTATAAGCATGCCAGGGCAAATATTTAGGCTAAATTGTGGGAGCTAAGAACATAAAGTACATTGATTTCTTTATGACGGCTAGCAGATATTTCAGAATGTTAGCACAGGTATTTGAATACATTTTGCTTCTAAGAGAAGTTACTATTTATTCCTAATTAGACGGGGAGGAAAGTCTTTGAAGAGGAACCTCTACTTTAATTTTTACAATTTTCATTTTTATTTCATGGTATTTTCCATTTAAAAACTGATCATTATCTAAGACTAGTTTCATCATAAAAGAGTTTTGTTTTGCTCAGGAAGCACAATCTACTAGAAGGAGGTTATTACTTTATGATCAAGTAGTCACCAAACTCTTCTCTTGCTGCTAAACAACAAATTATGTATTGAATGCCATCCTAAGTAAGCTTATAAATCTCTGCCCCCATTCTGGAATAGTTGCCTTTTGTAGAGGACACATACAATGAATAAAATCCCTACAAATTATGGACCCATTTCACCAACAGTGGAAACCATTCTAACTTGAACATACACACTCCCACATACACATCTGTGCATGCACACACACACCACACACCACACACACACACATACACATCATGTTTAAAGAACATTTTCATTGCTTTGAACATTTTTTCCTATGTAACTTCTCTTCAGACTTTATCTAAAAACCTGGCATCCCTTTAAACTTATTAATACTTTTTCCATCTTGGGAACTTGAGAGAATCCCAAAGATTTTTTATCTTATTACAGAAATTTAAGTTTCACAGAAAGATTCTAAATATTTTATATTAGCCAACCATTTAAAGAAGACTCTTCAACTGAAGATATACAAAATTCCTTAAAATGAGTTGCTTTGATTAACCAAATCAGCCTCTTTAGAAATGTTTTATTCAAATTACATTTAAATGTCTATGCTTCATAGGCAAATGCTTTAGACACAGCAAATTCACCATAACTTTGCCTGTCCTTATACACACATCTACCACATAACAGGGCCTCCAGCAAGGAAAAGTAATAAACAGATTCAAGAAGGAACTCTTTGTAGTCAAAAGCTGTTTCTGACCTATGCTGCATATTCACGGGCAAAATGAACAAATCTGATATTTGATGATATATTTGCTAGAATCTGGTACCATATAAGGAACTTGTTCATATATTACTGACATAGCAATTTCAATATGAGTTGTCCTGTCCTTCTACATATACCTGCCACATAATATGTACTGTAGATCACAATTATACACTTCTTGCTCTCAGGCACTTTTAGGTCTAGGTTGCATATTCCATATAAAAGATGGCATGTGTGACCGCTGATGTTCTCTTGCTCTTATCAAGAACATCAGACTGTTTACTGAGCTTTCTGAACTTTCCTGAATCAACAACATAGATAAGTCCTCTATATCACCCAGTTTTTAAGATAATTTCAAAGGTTTTCATGTAATTTCTAAAGCATAGGTATTTATGTTCATACCATAAACAAAAGCCCTTGAAAAGGTTCATTACATTTTTAATTGCACCCATTATTGGTGCAATTGAATTGCACCAATTAATTGCAATACTAGGTTCCCTTTCCCCATTTTGTGCTATGCTGTTTTTTACAGAGATCCCATCCAACAAATGAGATTCTACTTTGAATGCACCACAAGAAGATATTTTTTGCTTTTTGCTACATACCTATTTTGAGCTCATAAAGCAATTTCTGTTTCTCATGACTCATTAATTAAATTAAATTGAAAATGTCAATACCTAAAATTTCCAATGCTTCCCTCATATTTTTAAACAACTTGCAACCCTATTGTCCTCTCTTAACAGTTATAAACAGACCATTCCTTAAAATATATCTGTACCAAATATGAAGACTTAATGATGTCCAGGAGAGTTTATACATGAGTCCTCAGAACTTTACAATAAACAACTCCTTAACAGGGTTTTCTTTTTTAATCTTACAATTCATAAACCACATCCACAAAAGAACAGCTTTGATTTATAAAATTTCACTTCTTCTGTCATCAGGTCAGGATATGTTCAGTTATGAGTAATAGCAAACTCAAAGAATATGGCTAAACAGAGAAGAATTTATTTTTATGACATGAAAAGAAGCCCAGTGGCAGGAAGTTCAGGGTTGTTAATGAGATTCACCAATGCCAACAGGGAGCCAAGATCTTTCCAACTTTCAATTCTGCTTATCTTAGAGTGTAAAGGCTTTCATGCTCAAGGGTATCCAGTAGTCATATAAGACCTGCTGGCTTTAAAACCAGTTAGACAGGCAAAAGGGCAAAAGGTGAAATGATGAAGAGATTCTTCCTAGAGACATGTTGCCTTTTTATTAAAAATGGATTTCCTCCCCAGAAATTCCTGCCTATATCTCATTGACTAGAATTGTGTCACAAATTCACTGCAGCTTCAAGGGAGGCTGGGAAATTAGGTATTTCTATTTGGACTCATTGACAGCCTAAATAAACTTGAAGTTCTTTTAATAAAGAATGGAGTAGTGGTTCGAGCGCAACGGCTTACACCTGTAATCCCAGCACTTGGGAGGCTGAAGCAGGAGGATCACGTGAGTCCAGGAGTTTGAGGCCAGCCTAGGCAACATAGCAAGACCCCGTCTCTACAAAAAATAAAATAAAATAAAATTAGCCAGGTGTGGTGGCATGCGTCTGTAGTTCCAGCCACTTGGGAGGCTGAGGTGAGAGGATCACCTGATCCTGGGAAGCCTGTGCTACAATAAGCCAGGACTGTGCCACTGCACTCTAGCCTAGTCAACGTAATACGACCCTGTCTCAAAAAAAAAAAAAAAACGTCATTGACTTTGGGTAGGGCCATCAATAATTTGATTATTTTGAAATTACAATGAAGTGATATAACAATGGTAGAGACTTACATATTAAAAATTTATGGCATTTCTTCCCCTTATGTAAACATCAGCCAGCCACGTATCAAAGCCTGTAGCATGCCACAAATATATAAATAGTTGGGGATTATAGATGTAGTTTAAAGGTACTTCATATTCCTGTCCTTTGTCTTTGACATGTAGAAGATAGTTGACATTGGTAGATACATTGCATTCATCAGGAATTGATCTTCAGTAGCCTTTATTTTCCTTTCCTATCACAGACACTATAGGAAATCATGACCTTTCATAAGGTCTTTATATCAGAGATTGTCAAACTTCAAAATCTTTCCATGTCTACTTGCATTTCTTTGCATATATTGTATATAATTATTGAGTATATATTGATTCTTTCTATGTCAGAATAAGGCACACCTGAAAATTTATAATTCTTTACTTTAACGAGTCAATATTTACAAGATTCTATTTCTTTCAACTTATGCAGGCAACAATAATGATTATTCTATAATGTGGGAGCAAAACAAATTATGACATAGTATATCCTGAAATTTACATACCAGTAATTTAACAGAGCCTCTGTTATATTTTTCAATTTCAAGACATTTCAAACCCATGTGGTTCATCTAATTTTAATGCTGAAATTCTGTGATCATTGACAGAATATTCCTGATAGAAAACAGATTATCTATCAGCCAGCTCCTCTAGACTTTACTAATGTAGTTACATGAAAAAGTGTCTCTACATCATGCTGATTATATAATTTTTATAAAACATCTTTATAATTAAAAAATAAAATATCTACATAAACTTATTTTTATTCAAGCCAAAAACAAAATACCTTAAAATGGATACCATATTTGCAATTTTATCTATCATTTGAAGTTTCATTGTATAACTAAAAGACACACTACTCAAAATTGATGTAGTCTTGCACATTGTTATAGGTCCCTGTCCTGTCTTAGATTTTCTTGTACTTTGCCAAGAGAAAATCCAATAAATGTAATTCCTACAATTTGCAAACACATCATACTATTAAATTTAACTGCTAAGAGTTTTTCTTATGGTTGGGATTTAGATAGGATAGAAAAGATCTTTTATCTTGGGTTCACACATGAAAAATCAGACAAATTAAAACTTACCCCATAGGGCTAATGAAGAGTGGTGAATTTAACAATGTCTTGATGAACTGAATCCCAGAAAGAAACAAGCCCTTGGTGTGTAAACTGAGATTCATGGTAGCTTTTATACCTGGGGCAGGCAGCTAGGGTGGAGAGGATCATACTTGCCATTAATAGGCAGACTATGCTGGGAAAAAGGAAATCAAACATGCTTAAACAACAGTGGCCAAATCATGAAGAAAATGAATAATATTTTACTCTGCATCAAATAAGTAGTTTAATTGAGATACTTTCAGAGGAGAGAAATTGTACATTGGAACTTATAGATTCATTTATTGTTTTGGAGAGTCTATATATATTTGGGCTGATTAGTTACAATTTACTTAAAAAGTAGTAGAGTCCAAGATGGAACAGGAAAATAATAAAACTTTTATTTCATGAAGAGAGTAAATTTCACAAAGATGCATATAAAAATAACTTTATGCCACAATTTTTCAATTTATTGAAGTTTAACTGACATACAATGAAAAACATATCTTAAGTATGCAGTCAGATAAAATTTTAATATATATGTGTATATTTGACATATATTTACATATATACACATGCACATAGTTATGGACGGAATTGCATCCCTCCCAAATTCATATGTTGAAACTCTAATCCACAATATGAGTGTATTTGGAGATGTAGCATTTAAAGAGTTAAAGTTAAATGGGGCCTTAATCCAATATGGCTGATGTCCTTATAAGAAGAAGAGATACCAGGGATGCTATCTTAGAATTGGCAAATATTCCAGATACTATTCCTGAGTAACAAATAACTCAAAATCTTAGTGGCTTAAAACAAAATTATAGTGCTCAAACATTTGCAATTTGTGCAGCATGTGACTGAGATTAGCTCATCTCTGCTCTACTTGGCATAAGGTGGAATGATTTAAAGTATGGATTTGGGGGCTGGATTTATCTAAAGGCTTGTGTATTCATATGTTTAGTAGTTGATGTGTGCTGCTGGTTGAGACCTATGTCTATTCTATGTTACCTGGGCTTCCTCACCACATGGTGAGTGGGTGACAAGGACTACCATTCCAAAATAAAGAGGAAGATAGAAACCATAATGCATTTTATAATTGTATTGGAGGTCAAAGCAGTATGACTTCCATCACATTATATTTTTTGAGGCAAAAGCATAGGCCTGCCTAGGTTAAAGGGAAGGGGAAGTATATTATACCCCTTAATGAAGAGTAGCAAAATTCTAGAAGAACATAAGAGAATGGATCTCTGATCTAAATGATGTGACAATTTTTGAAAAATACAATATGCCGTAGCAATTTTCTGCATTTGAAGTAAAATCTTCAAACATGTGTATATTAATTAATTTGGAGTAACCCTGAGAAGTGGGACCAAAAATTGAAGTGGAAAAAAAGCAAACTTATTATTTTGAGATCATACATTTTTTATATTTTTGAATTTTAAACATAATCTTCAAGCAGACTTTTAAAAATTATGCAAATAATACTGGCATTGCTAAGTACAAGTATTACTGGAAGTCAATGCATACACAAATTGTGAAAGAAACTGCTAGTTTTATAAATGGATAGAATCAATTCTACTGCTCTGATTTTACAAATGAGATAATAGCTACCCATTAATGGTGGCCATCTGCTGGAATTGTCAGATATTATCTACATTTTCAGATCATTGCTGAAATGCTTGCTCAGTTGCTTACTACACAGAACTGCTGTGCTCATAGATATATACTTACATTGTTGCTCTCAGGCCACAGTGTCATATACCATATGCAAAATGTTTTCAGAACAGCAGTAGAGAACTGTAGAGAATGCGATAAAAGGTCAACTTAATTCGTTAACTTTATAGAAACAGGCAATGTGATTAGTAGGGCTGATCTCTAGAAGCAATTAATAAAGTTTACTTGCCTTGTGGAATTCATTAGGCTCCTTCACCTTCTTCTTGACTTCAGAGCCCTGTCAAAGGGATGGTTTCTTTTCTGACCCTATTTTCATTTCCAAAACAGCAATTAAAGGTTTGTCTGATTTTAATCAATATAGTAACATGACAAATGTACCTAGAAGCTTCTAGGATATCAATGTAAAGTACTTCATCCCATATTTCCTTCTTTCATTAAGAGATGTGATATTTAAAACTAATAAGGTGATTTGGGAAGAAAAATATAGAAAAAAGGGCATGGATAGTAGTGTAAATATAAAAGGCCTAAAAAGTGTGACTAGTGAGATGTAGGGGGTTAGTAATAGAAGAAAACACTTCAGTTTCACTATACAAAGGGTAATCATACTACTCTGTACTATATCAGCAGTTCTCATGCTATTACAAGTTTTTTTTTTTTCCTCCCCCTAGGTAACTAGCACATTTACTATCATGGGTGACAATTTTTTGAGTTATGGCTGGAGAACCTGACTTGTGAAAGCTCCCTTCATTGTGCTGGAAGAAACTCAGCAGTGTGTCCCAGAGAAGAATCCACACCAGTTGCATCCATTTCTCAACAGTGTAAGCAATTTCTAAAGGAAGTGTTTGGCAGTACCGTAGGTAGATGTTGGAAAATAAGTTAATGCAATTCTATGCCAAGCTGAGTTAATTCAGCACTGCAAACTTACATAATTAGGTGTGAACCCTAAATACCTGAGACAGGTCTCAGTCAATTTCAGAAGTTTAAGAAGTTTATTTTGCCAAAGTTAAGGATGAGTGCCCACAACACAACCTCAGGAGGTGCTGACGACATGTGCTCAAGATGGTCAAAGCGCAACTTGGTTTTATACATTTTAGGGAGATAGGAGACATCATTCAATTTATGTAAGATGTACATTGCTTCCATCCATAAAGGCAGGACAACTCCAAGTGAGGAGGAGGCATCCAAGGTAGATAAGAGACAAAAGTGGCATTATTTTAAGTTTCTGATTACTCTTCCCAAAGGAAGTAATCAGATATCCATTTATCTCAGTGAGCAGAGGAATGACTTTGAATAGAATGGGAGGCAGGTTTGCCCTAAGAAGTTCCCAGCTTGACTTTTCCCTTTAGCTTAGTGATTTTGGGGTCCCAAGATTTATTTTTGTTTCACATAGGTAATAATAACCAATAATTGGTTGTTTTTTGTTGGCATATATGGCTTAAAATTTTAAGTGAAGTAGAAGCATTTAGAAATATCAGCTTACTGTTACCTAAAATGGAGATATTAAATAAGAGAGTATTCTACCATTTTCCCATTCTACAGCCAATATTTCATATTATCCAATCAATTCAGACAAATGGGACATAATTACTCAAATTATTTTGAAAATACAATTTTTAATTACTAAATGACACAAAACAGTTTTTTTTTACTTTTTCAATGACTAGTAAAACACTATTTATAGAAATAGATATATACATGTCAAAGAACACTGTATTTAATACACTTAAAGCCATTCCAGTGGTTTCTTGTGTGGTTTTGTGAAATAAAATAATTTTAACATATTTACTTATTTAAATATTTAACATGGTAAAATATTATCTTTTAATATTTGATGGAAGAAATTTCATTTCAGGATCAATATTAAATGTTACATATGATTTACTTTTCAAGTCCCAAAGTTTTTATTAAATGGCCATATTGTAGTGTCTGTTGTTCCCTTCTTTGTGTCCGTGGAGGGGGTGCTCAGGCATGGCAGGCTGCAGGTCCTGAGCCCTGCCCCACGGGGAGGCAGCTGAGGCCCAGCGAGAATTCTAGTGCACCCTCCGCAGCTTCTGGCCCCTCTCTGCCCCGTGGCCTGAGCTTCCCTGAAGGGTTCCACCCCTGCTCTGCAGCGCCCTGTCTCATCAACTGCCCAAGGGCTGAGGAGTGCAGGAGCTGGCGTGCAGCTCCGCCCACGGCTCCAGCAACGGATCACTAGGTGAAGCCAGCTGGGCTCCTGAGTCGGGTGGGGACTTGGAGAACTTTTATGTCTAGCTAGAAGATTGTAAATACACCAATCAGCACTCTGTGTCTAGCTAAAAGATTGTAAATGCACCAATCAGCACTCTGTGTCTAGCTAAAGGTTTGTAAATGCACCAATCAGTGCTCTGTCTAGCTAATCTAGTGGGGACTTGGAAACCTTTAGTGTCTAGCAAAAGGATTGTAAATGCACCAATCAGCACTCTGTGTCTAGCTCAAGGTTCGTAAATGCACCAATCAGCACCCTGTCAAAATGGACCAATCAGCTCTCTGTAAAATGGGCCAATCAGCTCTCTGTAAAATGGACCAATCAGCAGGATGTTGGTGGGGTCAGATAAGGGAATAAAAGCAGGCTGTGCAAACCAGCAGCGGCAACGCGCTGGGGTCCTCTTCCACACTGTGGAAGATTGGTTCTTTCGCTCTTTGCAATAAATCTTGTTGCTGCTCACTCTTTGGGTCGGCACTGCCTTTATGAACTGTAACACTCACTGCGAAAGTCTGCAGCTTCACTCCTGAGGCCAGTGAGACCACAAACCCACTGGGAGGAATGAACAACTCCAGACGGGATGAACAAACAATTCCAGATGTGCCACCTTAAGAGATGTAATACTCACCGTGAAGGTCTGCAGCTTCACTCCTGAAGCCAGCGAGACCATGAACCCACCAGAAGGAAGAAACTCTGAATATGTCCGAACATCAGAAGGAACAAATTCCAGACACACTATCTTTAAACTGTAACACTCACCAGCGAGGGTCTGCGGCTTCATTCTTGAAGTCAGTGAGACCAAGAACCCACCAATTTCGGACACACTACCTTACTTAAAATTATGCTACAAGGCTACAGTAACCAAAACAACATGGTACTGGTACAAGAAGACACATACAGGACAATAGAACAGAATAGAGAGCCCAGAAATAATACCACACCCCCACAACTATCTGATCTTCAACAAACCTGACCAAAAAAAGGAAAATATTTTCTATTAAACAAATAGTGCTGGGATAACTGGCTAGCCATATGGTGAAGATTGAAACTGGACCTCTTCCTTACACCATATGCAGAAATTAACTCAAATGGCTTAAAGACTTAAATGTAAAACTCTAAACTATAAAAACCATGGAAGACAACCTAGTCAATACCATTCAGGACATAGGCACAGGCAGGAATTTCATGATGAAGACACCAAAAGCAATTGCAACAAAAACAGAAATTTAAAAATTAGATCTAATTAAACTAAAGAGCTTCTGCACAGCAAATGAAAACTATCAACAGAGTAAACAGACTATAGAATGAGATCATTATTTTTGCAAACTATGCGTCCAACAAAGATCAATATCCAGCATCTATGCGGACCTTAAACAAATTTACAAGAAAAAAAAACCCATAACAAAGTGGGCAAAGGACAAACAGACATTTTCTAAAATAATACTAGTTTACTTTAATATTTTTCTTTTGCATTGACCTTTGGTTAAAGTGATTACTGTGTGTCTTTGAGATGGTTGTTCTCTATAGGATCTCACAAGATTCTCTGAAATTTTGTTTAAAATTTGACCTCTCTGGTGAGGTTGGAAAATTTTTTATGCACAACATCTTCAAATATGCTTTGCAAGTTGCTTGCTTTCACTCTCTTTCAGTGTTGCCAATGTGTCATAGCTTTGGTCTCTACTTAATGCTATATTTATCAGAAAATTTTCTGATTCTTTTTTTTTTCTTTATTTTTGTATGACTTAGTTGATTCAAATACCCACTCTTCAAACTGTGAGATTCTTTCCTCTGCTTTACGTATTCTGCTGTTAATACTTTCAATTGTAATATGAAATTATTGTAGTGAGTTTTTCAGTTCTAGAAGATCAGCTTGGTTCTTTCTTAAAATAACTTTTTTGTCTGTGAGTTTTTGTATTATTTTCCTGGATTCTTTGGATTGGATTTCAACTTAATCCTAAATCTCTATGATCTTCATTGCCATCAAGATTCCAATTCCTATGTCTGACATTTAAGCCACTTAAGGCTGGTTAAGAACCATTGCTGGGGTGCTAGTTCAGTCATTTGGAGGTAAAAGACAATGGCTTTTTTAGTTGCCAGAGATCTTGTACTGGTTCTGTATGAATGTTCCTTTAATTTTTGAAGTCACTGTCTTCTGAATGGGGCTTTTAGCTTTTATATTACTTTATGCCCTTCAGTGTTTGACTGTGATATAAGTTGGGTTCAGTCAGGTGGCTTCATTTCTAGATAATTTCATGGGGCCCAGGCTCAGCTCAGCACCACTGGGCTGCATGCTCCATCCGTGAAGAGCTGGGACCAGACCTACTGCTTTGTTGTCTTACGCCTTGAGGTTAACCACATGCTAAGCTGGAGGGGCCAAGGTGTTCCCAGTCCACTGGCCATGACACTCAAATTGGAGGTGCCAAAGAAAGTGCTTTATAGGCACAGTAGCAGTGAGATCTGTTTTCATACACATATGTCAGCAGCAGTGGGGCAGCAATGTAGCATATCCTGTGCAAACATTTTTGTGTGTGTGTGCGTCCTCAGCTGGCTTTGATATCTGGGTAATGCTGGTCTCATATAATGAATTTGAAAGTGTATTCTTCTCTCCAAATTTTTCAGAGTTTGAGCCAGAGTCATGTTCATTCTTATGTAAATGTTCAGTAGAATTCATCAGTGAAGCCATTTTGTCTAGGACTTTTCTTGCTGTGAGGTTTTTGATTATGAATTATCAATATATGTACATTTTTATTCTTCTTTATTGTTTTGATAAGTTATGTGTATCTAGGAATTTGTCCATTTCATTTATTCAGTTTGTTGGCATACCATTGTTCATAGAACATTATTTTAAGCCTTATATTTACTAAATCTTTATTTTATTTATTCCATTTATTTTATGAAGTCAGTAGTAATGTACCCACTTTCAATGCTCATTTTAGTAGCTTGAAAAATCTCTTTTCTTATTAGTTAACTTACCTAAATGTTTCACAACTTTGTTTATGTTTTTGAGGAACAAACTTTTGGATACATGGATTTTTCTATATTGTTTTTCTATTTTCTCCTTTTAATTTCTCTGCTCTTATCTTTATTATGTATTTTTTCTACTACTTTTGGGTTTAGTTTCTTCTTTTTGTAGTTCCTTAACATATGAAGTTATGTTGTTGATTTCAGATCTTTCTTCTTTGATTTAATGCAATTATTTACAGGTACAAATTTTTCCCTTAGCAATGCTTTTGCTGCACTCTTCTTATTTACAGTTCTGTCTACCCTCATTCTATGGTATTGATTCCACAAATAGTATTTTTAATATATTCTGTGCCCACCAACATGTGTTTATAATTTTTTATTTATCCTATATAAAATAAAAAGTGAAGTTACAAATAAAAATTACAACAATACTGGTTTTTGTATTTACTCATGTATTTACCTTTGGTGAAGATATTTATATTTTCATAAATCTTTAATTTATTATCTAGCATCATTTTATTTCAACCTGAGAGACTTTCTTTAGCAATTCATGTAAGGAAGGTCTAGTGAAAATAGCATTTTTCAGTTTTGGTTTACATGAGAATGTCTAAATTTTCTTCAATTTGAAGGGCAATTTTGTCAAATATAAAATATCTCATTAGACAGTTTTTTTCTTCTATACTTTAAATGCATCATTCCATTGTCTCTGTTCTCCAATGTTTCTACTGAGAAATCTGCTGCATTTTTTATTGAAAAATATATACCCATTGTATATAAGTCCCTTTCCTCTTGCTGCTTTAATATTCTTCCTTTGTTTTTGCCTTCTGATAGTTCGATTATCATGTATCTTATTGTGGGTCTTTATGGGTTTACTTACATAGAGTTTGTTTAGCTTCTTGGATTTGATGCTTTATGTCTTTCCTCAAATATGCAAAATTTTGGGCCATTCTTTCTTAAAATAAGCACTCTTCCCCTTTCTCTGTCTATATTTTCCTAGAACTCCCATAGTGCAAATATTGTTTTGCTTAATGGTGTTCTATATTTTTTTAGGCTCTGTTCACATTTCTTCATCCTTAATTTTCCTTTTGATCCTCAGACAGGAAATTATCAAATATCTTATCTTTTATTTCATTAATTATTTCTTTAACCTGTTTGAGCCTGCTGCTCATTCTCTCAGGGAAATTTTTAAATATGGTGTTATATTTTTATCTTCAAAATTTTTGTGTGGTTCCTCTTCATAATTTATATTTCTTATTGGTATTCTCATTTATAGATTATTTTCCTGGTTTTCCTTAGTCCTTTGTTTATGTTTTTTATTAGCTCTTTGATTATATTTATAATTGTTTTATGTTTTTTTGGCTGGTAAGTCAGATGTGTGTCTATTTTTCAGAAAAGATTTCTGCTATTTTATTTTCTTCCTTTGAACAGGGCATGTTTATGTTTCTGTGTATGCCTGTGGATATATTTTGTTGAAAGTTGGGCATTTTTTTAAAAAAATCAGTCACCTCTCCTAGTCTTTTTGAACTGGCTCTGTGCCTGGAAAATATCCTTCACTAATTAGCTGGGCATGTTCTAGGCTGTGTTAGATCAGGTTGTCCAAAAAAACAGGACCATTAGGAGATACACACACACACACACACACACACACACACACACACACAGGCAAAATTTATAAGATATTGGCTTACAGTATTATGGCTTACAAAATTATTGGCTTACAGAATTATGGAGACCAAGAAGTCCTGCAATCTTCCACATGCAAGCTGGCAACCCAGGAATGTTGGTGGTGCACTTTGAAGGCCTGAGAGCCAGAGAGCCAATGGTGTAGATTCTGGTCCAAATTTGAAGACCTGAGAATTAGGAGCACCAAGGGCAGGAGGATATTGATGTCCCAGAGCAAGCAGTCAGACAGAGAGTGAATTCAAGCTTACTTTGCCTTTTTGTTCTGTTAAGGCTCTCAAGAATTAGATAATGCCACCTATGTTAGTGATGGCAATCTTCTTTACTCACATCACCAATTCAAATGCTAATCTCTTCCAGAAGCACCCTTAGAGATATGCTTAAAAATAATGTTTAAGAAGTTATTTGGGCATGTCATAACCCAGTCAATTTGACACATAATATCACCCATCATATATGTCTTGTGATTAGCCAAATTGGAATGATTAAGGTCTCTCAGACATTTTCTAAGTATACATCTTTACTGGCCTGTGTGTGGCTTTTTGATTCTCTATATACATGGCTACTTTTAAATGTCTTAATCTTCTAAAGTGTTTTACCTCAGCCTCCTCTTGGGCCTTAGATCATCTATTCCAAGTCTCCACCCATCATCTCTTGCTGCAGGCATCTGTGGGTCTTGCTCACTTTGAAGATTTTCCAATAAGGGCCCACTGCTTCTCCCTGCCTATAATCTGAATTACGCAAAATAGAGACCAGTTACTTAAACACCCAGACAGGTTAGAACATTATAAATGAAATCTGCTCTACTACCTTCCATTTGAAGAATGGCATTGGTAACTGGGATGCTGCCTTATATTGTTTGTTGTAGGGCTCCACCTATAATCTCTTACTCCAGACATTTGTTGGTGTGTGTCCCCCTTCATGTTCCTGGGCAGTGCCTGTGTTTCTCTTTGCCCCAGGCTTGAGTTATGCCACTTCACCTCCCCCCTACTGGAGATCTGAGTTATGCAATACAAAGACAAGTTATTCAGAAAGCCCTCAGACATATTAGAAAGTAGCAAATAAGGTTGAACTTGTAACCTTTAAATTTGGGAGGCAAAGACGAGAGTTTCACTTGAGGTCAGGAGTACGAGACCAGCTTGGTCAACATGGTGAAAACCCATCTCTATTAAAAATATGAAAATTAGCCTGGCATGGTGGTGGCTGCCTGTAATCCCAGCTACTCAGGAGGCCGAGGCAGGAGAGTTGCTTGAACCTGGGAGGTTCAAATAAGTAGCCAATAAGGTCTGCTCTACTCTCTCTGGCTCAAGGGAGGGAATTGGAAATTAGATAGCCACACCATGCTGGACAGGGTGTAGGACATGGTGGCCAGAAATGCAATGAAATTTCCTACTGTTTTTAAAATGGCTTTTAAAAAAATGAGTATTTGCTTTGTTGCTGTAGACCTCTGATTGTTTCCCAGGCCTCCAATAAGGTAATTTAAACCATTTTATTTTCTTTTGTTTTGCTTTTGATGTCTTAATGGGGTCTTGGATCTTCCTTGTCTGTTGTTTTGCTGACAACATTACTTATTAGGTTGATTTTAAACTAATGATGATAATAATGATCTTGACATTTATGGAGTGCAAATCCCATGTTTAATTGCCTTACATGCATTATCTCGTTTAATCTTCACAATATTATTAGTGTATTTTATTTTAAAAATCTCTCTGAAGCATGGAGAATTTAAGTAAACATCCCAAGTACACTTATATAGTAAGTGATAAAACCACAAATCTTATTTAAGCATTCCTGATACTGCACCCATTGTGCTAATGACTAGAAGATATTTTTCTTAAGGAAATGATAATCAAATTTACATGTAAAATATAATATACACAAGTTATTATCAGTGCACAGAAGAGCAAACAATCAGTTAAATTTATTTTTTTCCAGAGTTAAAAAATGATATTTGTGCTGCTACACTTTATTCTAGAACCACAGAATCTCTCTCAACACAATAGTCTAGCCACATCTTCATCAGTCAATCAGAAATAATAGTTGGGTTATACACATTTTTCACCTTATAAAATATAACAATATTTATGATTTTTAGAGTCATTATAAATCTTTTATAAAATTCTGAAATACATGGAAGCTATAGCTAAACCAAATGGAAGTCTTTGGATTCCAGAACACTTGACATCAAGTCATGACTCTGCCACTTGCTCGTTGTATGGTTAGCAGCAAGATATTTTTTCTCTCTGATTTTTAATTTTCATATTTAAATTTGGCTAAGAGTACTTGCCTCTTAAAACTGTGTTGCTGGTATTACCAGAGTGTGGTATAATTAAAATATATATTTGCTTTTTGTCACCAGTTTCTCACACAGTACATCAAAAGCCCTTGCAATTTTCTGAGTGATAAAAGCATCTTTTGATATTCACAACAGGTCCCTTTTGACCGTACCTGAGTTTATGCGAACAAGGTAACTCATTGTGGGAACTTAGATAATATTTTCAAGGGAGGGACTGGCCATGCAGGTGATTAGAGGGTTGAAACCTTTAGCACCATCCACCAACCTCCAGGGATGGGAGGAGGGATGATGATTGAGTTCAGAATTGAATATTCCCGATACAAAGAAATAATAAATATTTGAGTTTATGGATATGTGAATTACTCTAATTTGAACCAATTACCAATGATTTAATCAATCATGCCTATTTTACAAGGCCTTGATAAAAATCTTTTAACAATGAGTTTTGGAGAGATTCTGAATTGGTAAACACAATGGATGCATATATGCTGGGAGAGTGGCATGCCAGAAGAAGTCATGAAAGTTTTCCCTTCGTCCCCATTTCCTTGTCCTGTGAATGTCTTCCTTTTGGCTATTCCTAGTTGGTTTTCTTTATAATAAAATTGCAATCACAAGTACAGCACTTTCCTGAGTTCTGTGCATAATTCTTTTTTTTTTCTTTTTTTTTTTTTTGAGACAGAGTCTCACTTTGTCGCCTAGGCTGGAGTGCAGTGACGTGATCTCCGCTCACTACAAACTCGCCTCCCAGGTTCAAGCAACTCTCCTGCCTCGGCCTCCTGAGTAGCTGGGATTACAGGCAGCCACCACCAGGCCAGGCTAACTTCCATATTTTTAGTAGAGATGGGTTTTCACCATGTTGACCAGGCTGGTCTCATACTGCTGACCTCAAGTGAACCTCTCGTCTTTGCCTCCCAAAGTGCTGGGATTACAGGAGTGAGCCACTGCGCCTGGCTTTCTGTGCCTAATTCTATCAGATAATTGAACTTGAGGAGAGATTCATGGGAACTCTCAAATCTGTAGTAAGCTAGGTAGAGTGCAGTTAACTTGGGCTGATGTCTTGTGGTGGTGATCATTTTGTGGGACTGAGCCCTCAGCCTGTGGGTTCTCTATTGACCCTGGGCAGTTAGTATCAAAATTAAATTGATTTGCAGGATGCCTAGATGGTATTGGAGAGTTGAACATTGCTGAAAAAGCTTCATATACAGATAAAAATAATAAAGTGCTAAGTTGATTTTCTGGTAGATCATAGATGCTTAATAAATCATGGTTAATATCACCTTCAGATGATTTAGGAAGTAACCAATTATTTAAGCATTCCTATATGTCCTGAAATGCTCTGAGTAGGGGTGTTTTATCAAGAGTGTTCTCTTATGCTATAAATAGATATATAATTTCAAAATGAAAAGACAGCCAAATAAAAATGTTCTCATTAAAATTAAACTGAATATAATTTGAAAATAATTATTGTACAGGGTACTGGATATAGACTTATATACAACTTCAGAAGGTAATTTAAAAACTATATTGTTAATAATAAATCGCTTAATTACCATTTCTTTATGGCTTATAGAAATAGAATATGAAAAATGTTTAATGTTTAATGTCTTAAAATGTTAAAAATGTTTAATGCTTTAAAACGTATAAATGTTTGGATTCTGAATAAATGAGAGTACACATTAAAATTTGAGTACATTCTTTAAAACAATTATTCTCAACCAAGAGTTAGGAGGAAGTTTGAAGCATATTATAATAATCTGGGATTTTTTTTTTCCAGTCCACAGCTCTTGGAGACTCTATTGTCTCCCAAAGTGGTGGAGTTCCTTTCATTATCACCTCCACCCATCATCCTACCTTCTATTCCTTTAGAGAATCACTGGCATTCTAAAGGTTTGTTACTGAAAGAAATACATTATATCTCTTACATATATAGAGGTTGTAAGGAAGCTGATAATTACTATGCCTGTGTTTGACATTCTATGACTTATAAATGAGGGAAACCAACCCTCAAGTACTTACAAGGTGTAGTCACAAGGAGAAAATATAATTACAATATCTTTAAATATCAAGATTTAAGGAACAAGTACTTGTATATGTGAATATTTATGCATCTTTAATAAACGATCAACTTGTATTTCCTCCAATTGACATATTTAAATTATTTGAACTCATAAAGAAAATGACATCATATTTTCTGTTCCTTTAAATAATATTGCATAGTTCCACTGTAAGAGTAAATATCACTAAACTTTTTTTTAGGTATATAAGAATAACTTACAGTAAATAAATTCTGGAAACCAACCTCTTTCATAGTAACATTTGAAAAGTAGAGGGCAAAGTTAGTATACGTTACCTGAAAACTTGTAGTTGTGAAATGTTTAAGTCTAGATATTGTCCATTAACAGTATTCCCTAGTTACTTCTTTTTCTGCTACATTTAATACTGCTGCTTCTGTTATAGTTTTTTTTTTACTTTTTTTTTTTTTTTTTTTTTTGAGAATGAATCTCCCTCTGTTGCCCAGTCTGGAGTGTAGTGGCATGATCTTGGCTCACTGCAACCTCCACCTCCCAAGTTAAAGCAATTCTACTGCCTCAGCCTCCCGAGTAGCTGGGATTACAGTCATGCACCACTGCGCCTGTCTAATTTTTGTATTTTTGGTAGAGATGGGGTTTCACCATGTTGGCCAGGCTGGTCTCGAACTCCTGACCTCAGGTGAGCTGCCTGCCTCAGCCTCCCAAAGTGTTGGGATTACTGCATGAGCCACTGGACTCAGCCATTTTTTCTTTTACTTTTATCCTTTAGTCCAAGCCAAACTGAAAAAAAGTCCAAACTGAATAGTACTTGATAATGTATCAAACTCTGTCTCAAAATTGTATATTATACCAACCCTGATACTGAGTTAATAAGAAAAACATGACCAGGAGTGGTGGCTCACACTTGTAATCCCAGCATTTTGGGAGGCCGAGGCAGGCAGATCACCTGAGGTCGGGAGTTCGAGACCAGCCTGACCAACATGGAGAAACCTCGTCTCTACTAAAAATACAAAATTAGCCAGGCGTTGTGGCGCACATCTGTGATCCCAGCTACTTGGGCGGGTGAGGCAGGAGAATTGCTTGAACCCAGGAGGCGGAGGTTGCAGTGAGCAGAGATCATGCCATTGCACTCCAGCCTGGGCAATGAGAGCGAAACTCCATCTCAAAAAAAAAAAAAAAAAAAAAAAAAATTGGTCATAAGATATCATTATATTACTATTATAGCAAATTTATCAAATATTATGGCTTTGTAGGAGATGTGTTGTGACTTTTGGCACAAAACAAATAAATGATTAATTATCATTGGAAAATAAATCATCTAGAGTTGTGTCTATTGTTCTTTAGAACATTTTTATAGCACCTTAAAAAACACCTTTTATTTTAGTTACAGTAGGTACATATTAAAAATATTTACATGAGTATATTGGGCCTGAAAAGTGACCATAGTACCCAATAGGTACTTTTTCAACTCATGGCCCCCATCCCCCATGCCCCCAAGTATTCCATCATCTCTACTGCACTCATGTTATTGTACATGTTTGCTACATGTTTAGCTCACACTGTAAATGACAACATGCGGTATTCGGTTTTCTATTCCTGTGTTAATTTGCTTACAGTTATGGACTTCAGTTCCATTTGTGTTGCTGCAAAGAAAATAATTTCATACTTTTTTATGGCTATGTAGTATTCCATGGTATATATGTACCACATTTTCCTTATCAAGTACACCATTGATGGGCACTGAGGTTGATTCTATGTCTTTACTATTGTGAATAGCATGATAATGAACATACACGTGCATGTATCTTTATGGTATAATAATCTATTTCCTGGTCAGGCGCGGTGCTTCATGCCTGTGATCCCAGCACTTTGGGAGGCCAAGGTTGGCAGATCATCTGAGGTCAGGAGTTCAAGACGAGCCTGGCCAACATGGTGAAACCCTGTCTCTACTAAAAATACAAAAATTAGCTGGGCATGATGGCGGGCGCCTGTAATCCCAGCTACTCAGGAGGCTGAGGCAGGAGAATTTCTTGAACCCGGGAGGTGGAGGTTGCAGTGAGGTAAGATCACGCCATTGCACTCCAGCCCAGGCGACAAGAGTGAAACTCCGTTTAAAAAAAAGTTATATTCCTGGGGCATATAACCAGTAATAGGGCAGCTGGGTCAAATGGTAGCTGTGTTTTAAGTTTTAAAATAAATCTCCAACATGCTTTCCACAGAGGCTGAACTAATTTACATTCTCATGAAGAGTATACATGTGCTCCCTTTTCTCGGCAGCCTCGCCAGGGTTTTTCATTGTTTTAGTTTTTAATAATAGCCATTCTCACTGGTGTAAGATGGTATCTCATTGTGGTTTTGATTTGCATTTCTCTAATGAAAGGTGATGATGGTCTTACTTCATATGTTTATTGACTGCTTGTATGTATTCTTATCAGAGGTGTCTCTTTATGTCCTTTGTTCATTTTTAACGAAGTTATTTGTTTTTTGCTTGTTGATTTGTTTCAAAAGAAACAAAAAATAGAGTAATCAGACAACCTACATAATGGTAGAAAATATTTGAAAGCTGTACATCTGACACGGGTCTAATATCCAAAATCTATAAGAAAGTAGTTTGTCTTGGCTAACAAGAAAATTCAAGCTGGGAACTGCTCAGGGCCAACCTGTCTCCCATTCTATTCAAAGTCATCCCTCTTCTCACTGAGATAAATGCATATCCGATTGCCTCCTCTGGAAAGGCTAATCAGAAACTCAAAAGAGTGCAACCATTTTTTCTCACCTACCTGTGACCTGGAAACCCCTTCCCCACTTTGAGTTGTCTCACCTTTCTGGACTGAACCAATGTTCATTTTATGTGTATTGATGTATTAAGTCTCCATAAAATGTATAAAACCAAGCTGTGCTCTGACCACCTGGGGCACATGTCGTCAGTACCTCTTGAGGCTATGTCATGGACACACATCCTCAACTTTGGCAAAATAAACATTCGTTTTCTTTTTTTTTTTTTTTTTTTGAGATGGAGTCTCGCTCTGTCACCCAGGCTGGAGTACAGTGGCATGATCTCAGCTTACTGCAACCTCCACCTCGGAGGCTTCAAGTGATTTTGCTGCCTCAGCCTCCCCAGTAGCTGGGACTGCAGGTATGTGCAACCATGCCCAGCTAATTTTTTGTATTTTTAGTAGAGACGGGGTTTCACCATGTTAGCCAGGATGGTCTCGATCTCCCCACCCTGGCCTCCCAAAGTGCTGGGATTACAGGCATTGAGCCACTGTGCCCAGCTCAATGGCAAAATAAACTTTCTAAGTTAACTCAAACCTGCCTCAAATTTTGGGGGTTCACAGGTCATTTTACAGGAACCCATATTTCTTGGAGGTTTTAGTCATTTTTCTTAATTTTTGTTAGACTGAGTTGATTCAAAGAGCTGACCATCAAACTCGGAGATTCTTTTCTCAGCTTGTTCTATTCTTTTAGTAATACTTTTGATTTATTATGAATTGTTTTTTAGTAAATATTTTTAGCTCCAGAAGTTCAGTTTGGTTTTGTCTTAAAATGGTTGTTTTATCTTTCATCTCTTGAGTCATTTTACTGGATTTTTTAGATTCATTAGATTGGGTTTTTCACTCATGTCTGTGTGAAGAGACCACCAAACAGGCTTTGTGTGAGCAACAAGGCTGCTTATTTCACCTGGGTGCAGGCGGGCTGAGTCCGAAAAGAGAGTCAGGGAAGGGAGATAGGGGTGGGGCCGTTTTATAAGATTTGGGTAGGTAAAGGAAAATTACAGTCAAAGGGGGGTTGTTCTCTGGCGGGCAGGGGTGGGGGTCAACAAGGTGCTCAGTGGGGGAGCTTTTGAGCCAGGATGAGCCAGGAGAAGGAATTTCACAAGGTAATGTCATCAGTTAAGGCACGGACTGGCCATTTTCACTTCTTTTGTGGTGGAATGTCATCAGTTAAGGCAGGAACAGGCCATTTAAATTTCACTTCTTTTGTGATTCTTCAGTTACTTCAGGCCATCCGGATGTATACGTGCAGGTCACAGGGGATATGATGACTTAGCTTGGGCTCAGAGGCCCGACAGGGTTTCTATTTACTTCTGAATCCCTATGTGTTTTTTTGACATCTGGACTCTAAATTCCATTTCTGACATCTCAGTCATTTCTGATTGGTTAAGAACCACTGCTGGGAAAATCGTGGACTGATTTGTGGGTAATAAGACACCTTGGACTTCTAATTTCCAGAGTTCTTACACTGATTCTTTCTCATCTGGGATGGTTGGTATTTTTTTAACTGTAGTGTGAGTTGAGTATAGTCAGTTGGCTTCATTTCTGGATGCATTCAGAGGGCTAGGGATCTGTACAGAAACTTTATATGTGGGTAAGTTCTTGCACTTGGTTTTACAGGTCTATATATTAGCAGGATAAATTTTGGGTGTTGTAGTTTGGGCTGCAATCCAGAATATGGTGCTCAAGAGTAATGACTGGTAGTTAGGTTAATACCCAGCCATGCAGCTCTTTTGTACTTCCTTGCATTTGCAGTTATGCTCTCTGATGGGGAGAAGAGAGAGATTACCCCATCACAAGTTTCACACCTGGACCTTGATGGGGGCCTCTCAGATCATTGGCACTGTAGCCACGTTTCTTCTGTTAGGTTCAGGGGCTGCAGCAGAAAGATATGCTACACTCTCTGGACTGGTTCTTTGAAGGGATGCATGCCCTATTCCCACCCTAGATCAGGAGCCTGCACATCTTTTCCAACTCATTGCTCTGAGGGTGAGTGATCTCAGTGCTCTGAGTGATCTTGGGGGCCCCAAGATATTTTCTTTTCACACTATAATCTTTTCTTTTTGAGACAGAGTCTCTCTGTGTCGCCCAGGCTGGAGTGCAGTGGCACGATCTTGGCTTACTGCAAGCTCCGCCTCCTGGGTTCACACCATTCTCCTGCCTCAGCCTCCCAAGTAGCTGGGACTCAGGCGCCAGCCACCACGCCCGGCTAATTTTTTGTTTTTGTTTTAGTAGAGACGGGGTTTCACCGTGTTGGCCAGGATGGTCTCGATCTCCTGACCTCGTGATCCGCCCGCCTCCGCCTCCCAAAGTGCTGGGATTACAGGCGTGAGCCACTGCGCCTGGCCTCACGCTAAAATCTCTTATAATAACTATTATGTAGTCTTCTAATTCGTTTCTTTGCTTCAATCACTGTCTCCTCCTAGTCTTTCTCCAATGTAGCAGTCAGAATAATTATTAAGCAATATTAATCTCTATTTAAATGTCTAATTATCAATCTTTCCAAGATACAATATATGAAAAGATTTTCTGTCATTTCTCAATTCTCTTAATCCTCTTTACAATTTTTTTCAAATCACATATGAAACCTGACATATATTTTCTTATATTTTTGTCTATCTTGCTAAAACGTAAGCTCTGTGAGAGCAGGAACTTTGTTAGTTCAGTTCACTGCTATACTTCTGAATCTATCATAATTTCTGAGGCATAATACATTTATTACCTCAACATCTTATTATGAAAATTTCCAAAGATACAGTAAAGTTGAATAAATTTAACAATGAGCACTCATATATATTACTACCACTAATATTTTACTTTTAAAGTTGATTTGGGAGGTTAATTTTGTGGTCTAAAAAACGTATTCTTACATGTTGTAAGCAAAAAGGGCAAGTACTATTATGTCCAAGTTACAAATAATGAAACTAAGTTTCAAATAAGGAAATCAGCCACTTTCTAGTTTAGTACTTTACAGAGCTCCATATATTTATAGCATGTATCGTGACCTTGGTGACACACAGTAGTCACCTGGAAAGCTTTATAAACATTGGTGACTGGGTTTTACTCCCAGAGATCTTGACATAATGAATCTGGGCTTGAAAAGTTTGGAAACCTCCCTAAGTAATTCCAATGTGCATTTAAGGTTGAGAACCCCTGTGTTAGTATTTTTTTAGTGGTTAGTAAATTAATGCTGAATAAACCATTTTTTCTATGACAGCTTGAGTTCTAATTGCGATGCCATACAATTCACCCATTTGAATTGTACAGTCAAGGATTATTAGTATATTTTCAGAAACGTGCAGTCAGCACTATAATTTTCAGTCACTTCACATCTTATTTCCATTCAATCTCCTACCCACCAGCCCCTGGTAACCACTAGTCAGATTTCCTCCTCTATAGGTTTTTTTTTTGTTGTTGTTGTTGTTGTTTTTGCTAGACATCTCATATAAATAAATCATATAATATGTGGTCTGTTGTAACTGGCTTCTTTCACTTGGTATGTTTTCAAAGTTCAGCCGTGGTTTGGCATGTATCAGTAGATTGTTCCTTTTTATGGCTAAATGATATTTTATTCTATGAATATGCCACATTTTGCTTATTCATTCATCAGTTGATGGACATTTAAGAAGTTTTCACTTTTTGGCTGTTATGTATAATGCTGCTAAAAACATTTATATATAAATTTTCATGTAAACATATGCTTTCAATTTTTTTTAATGTATACCTAGGAGTAGAATTGATGGACCGTATGGTAACCCTATGATTAACCTTTTAAGGAAGTTTTTTTCTAAAGCAGCTGTGCCATTTTACATTCTCCTTAGAATGCTATAAAGGTTCCCATTTTGCCCCATCCTCACTTATGCTTATAATTATATGTATTTTTTTATTATAACCATCCTGGGTGGGTGTGAAGTGGCAGCTCAATGTTAGTTGTTCAACACATATTTGTTGGATGAATGTATCTAGAAAGATTAGAAGTACTGGACTGTTTCCTTAAAAGATTATTTGCCTTTGATTAAATACCAGAACAGGTAGCTCTTGACTTTCTGATCCTCTCTGGTTTTTCTGACCCATGATGACTTCCATATTTTTCTTGCCTTTCTCATATTTGAGTTCCAGTGAGGCAACTTCTTTCCATACCATTTGGAAAGCTGATGCAAGAGTCACTTATATGGATTCCTCAAGCTCTCACTTCTGCTACTTATGAAAACCTAAACCTAAGCTTCTTGCATTCACTTTTTACTACCTCAGGTTGTATCAGGGAACAGAGAGACTCAATGTGCCTGTAGAAAGGAGGTGAGAATCATGTCTTTATTTGAGCAAACAATAATGAGACCTGGATGCCATGCTGGCTATTGCAATCCAATCTTTAACCATATAAGTACATATGGACGAAACACTTATCTTATAAAGGACAGGCCAGGCACGGTGGCTCATGCCTGTAATCCCAGCACTTTGGGAGGCTGAGGTGGGTGGATCACAAGGTCAGGAGTTCAAGACCGTCCTAGCCAATATGGTGAAACACCGTCTCTACTAAAAAGACAAAAATTAGCTGGGCGTGGTGGTGCACGCCTGTAGTCCCAGGTACTCAGGAGGCTGAAGCAGGAGAATCTCTTGAACCCAGGAGGCGGAAGATGCAGTGAGCTGAGATCATGCCACTGCACTCCAACCTGGGTGACAGAGCAAGATGCCGTCTCAAAAAAAAAAAAAAAAAGAAAAGAAAGAAAGAAAGGACAAAGCTTTTCGTAAGAGATATTGAAAAATGAGAGTGCCTTGTGCAATGCATTCACACTTAACATGCTCATCTAAACACATATCAGACTTTGATGTTTTCTACTTTTGTTTAAACTTTTATTTTCAATGCAGGTTTGTTATACAAATAAATTGTGTACCACAGGGATTTCATGTACATAGCACTTCATTTCCCAGGTAATAGGCACAGTAGCTGCATTAGTCCATTTTCACACTGCTATAAATGACTTCCTTGAGACTGGGCAGTTTATTAAGAAAAGAGGTTTAATTGACTCACAGTTCTGTATGGCTGAGAAAGCTTCCAAAAATTTACAATCACAGCAGAATGTGAAGGGCAAACAAACACCTTCTTCACAAGGCAGCAGGAGACAGAGCAAAGGGGGAAGAGCCCTTTATAAAACCATCAGATCTCTTGAGAACTCACTATCATGAGAACAGTATGATGAAAACTGCCCCCATAATCTAATCACCTCCCACCAGCTCTCTCCCTCAATACCTGGGGATTGGAATTCCAGTTGAGATTTGGGTGGGGACACAAAGCCAAACCATATTCCACCCCTGGTCCTTCCTAAATCTCATGCTCCTTTCACATTTCAAAATCAATCATGTCTTCCTATCAGTCTCCCCAAAGTCTTAACTCATTCCAGCATTATCCCAAAAGTCCAAAGCCAAAGTCTCATCTGAGACAAGGAAAGTCCCTTCCGCCTATAAACTGTAAAATCAAAAGCAAGTTTGTTACTTCCAAGATACAATGTGGTTACAGGCATTGGATAAATATTCCCATTTTAATTGAAAGAAATTGGCCAAAACAAAGGGGCTAAAGGCCCCATGCAATTCCAATCCAAAATCCAGTGGGGCAGTCATTGAATCCTTTTCTTCCTTCAACTTTTATTTTATGTTCCAGGATACATGTGCAAGATGTGCAGGTTTGTTACATAGGTAAACAAGTGCCATGGTAGTTTGCTTCACAGATCCACCTATCACCTTAGTAATAAGCCCAGCATGCATTATCTATTCTTCCTGATGATCTTCCTTCCCCTACCCTCACTCCCAATAGGCCCCAGTGTGTGTTGTTCCCCCCAATATATCCATGTGTTCTTATCATTCAGCTCCCACTTGTAAGTGAGAATATGCAGTGTTTGTTTTTTTGTTCCTGCATTAGTTTGCAGTCAATCCATGTCCCTGCAAAGGACATAATCATGTTTCTTATTATGGCCGTATAGTATTCCATGGTGTATATGTACCACATTTTTTAAATCCAGTCTATCATTGATGGGCATTAAGGTTGATTCCATGTCTTTGCTATTGTGAATAGTGCTGCAATTGACATACACGTGCATGTATCTTTATAATAGAATGATTTATATTCCTTTGGGTATATGCCCAGTAATGGGATTCCTGGGTCAAATGGTACTTCTGCCTTTAGGTTTTTGAGGAATTGCCATACTGTCTTCTACAATGGTTGAACTAATTTACACTCTCACCAACGGTGTAAAAATGTTCTTTTTATTCTGCAACTTTGCCAGCATCTGTAGTTTCTTGACATTTTAATCATTGCCATTCTGACTGGTATGAAATGGTATCTCCTGTGGTTTTGATTTGCATTTCTCTAATGATCAGTAATGTTGAGCTTTTTTTCATGTATTTATTGGCCACACAAATGTCTTTTTTTGAGAAGTGTCTGTTCATGTCTGCTCATGTCCTTTGCCCCCTTTTTAATAGGGTTACTTGTTTTTTCTTCTAAATTTGTTTCAGTTTCTTCTAGACGCTGACTATTAAACCTTTGTCAGATGGATCTATTGAAACAGAATTCTCTCATTCTGTAGGTTGTTTGTTCACTCTGATGATAATTTCTTTTTTTGGACAGAACCTCTTTAGTTTAACTATATCCTGTTTGTCAATTTTTGCTTTTGTCACAATTGCTTTTGGCATTTACATAACGAAATCTTTGCCACTGCCTATATCCTGAATAGTATTGCCTAGATTTTCTTCTAGACTTTTACAGTTTTGGGTTTTACATTTAAGTCTATAATCCATCTTTCACTGCTTTTTGTATATGCAGTAAGGAAGGGGTGCAGTTTCAGTTTTCTGCATAGGACTAGTCAGTTTTTCCAGAACCATTTATTAAATAGGGAATCCTTTCCCAATCCCTTGTTTTCGTTAGGCTTATCAAAGATCAGATGATCGTAGGTATATGATCTTATTTCTGAGTTCTGTATTCTGTTCCATTTCCATGTGTCTCTTTTTGTACCAGTACCATGACGCTCTGGTTACTGTAACCTTGTAGTATTGTTTGAAGTTGTATAGCATGATGCCTCCAGATTTATACACAAATCAATAAATGTGAATTCATTACATAAACAGAACTAAAGGCAAAAACCACATGATTATCTCAATAGATGCAGAAAAAGCCTTTGATAAAATTTAACATCCCTTTATGTTAAAATCTCTCAATAAACTAGGTATTGAAGGAACATATCTCCAAATAAAAAAAGCAATATATGACAAGCCCACAGCCAGTATCATACTGAATGGAAAACTCTGGAAGCATGACCCTGGAAAACTGGCCCAGGACAAGGATGCCCTCTCTCACCACTCCTATTCAACATAGTATTGGAAGTTCTGGCCAGGGCAACCAGGCAAGAGAAAGAAATAAAGGGTATTCAAATAGGGATAGAGGAAGTCAAATTATTTTTGTTTGTAAATAACATGATCCTATATCTAGAAAACCCCATCATCTCAGGCTAAAATCTTCTTAAGCTGATAAGCAACTTCAGCAAAGTCTCAGGATTCAAAATCTATGCAAAAATTGCTAACATTTCTATACTCCAACAACAGGCAAGTGGAGAGACAAATCATAAATTAACTCTCAGTCACAATTGCTACAAAGAGAATAAAATGTCTAAGAACACAGCTAACAAGGGAAGTGTAGGACCTTTTCAAGGAGAACTGCAAACCACTGCTCAAGGAATTCAGAGAGAGCACAAATAAATGGGAAAAACATTCCATGCTATGGATAGAAAGAATCAATATCATGAAAACGGCCATACTGCCCAAAGTAATTTATAGATTTAAGGCTATTTCCATTAAGCTATGATTAACATTCTCCACAGAATTTGAAGAAATTATTTTAAAAGTCATATGGAACCAAAAAAAATCCCTAATAGCCATGGCATTCATTAAATATTAAAGCCCCAAAATAATATCATTTGACTCCTTGTCTCACGTCAAGCACATGCTGATGCGAAGACTGGGTTCCCAAGACCTGGGCAGCTCCACCCCTGTGGCTTTGCAGGGTTCAGCCCCTGTGGCTGTTCTCATGAGCTGACATTGAGTGCCTGCGGCTTTTCCAGGTGCATGGTGCAAGCTGTTGGTAGATCTACCATTCTGGATTCTGAAGGATAGTTCCCCTCTTCTCACAACTCCACTAGGTAGTGCCCCAGATGGGACTCTGTGTGGGACCTCTGACCTCACATTTCCTTTCTGCACTGCCCTAACAGATGTGCTCCATGAGGCCTCCACCCCTGGATCAGACCTCTGCCTAGACATCCAGGCGTTTTCATACATCCTCTGAAATTTAGGTGGAAAATGGGACTTTTGAGTTGATGCTGGAATTAGTTAAGACATTTTGGGATTATTGGACATATATTGCATTTAGCTATGTGAGAAGAACATAAGATTTGGGGGGCTAGGAGTAGAGGAATATAGTTTGGATATTTTCCCCTCCAAATCTCATATCAAAATATGATCTCCAAGTTTGGAGTTGGGCTCTCATGGTAGGTGTTTGGGTCATAAGAGGATTCTTCATGAATGGCTTGATGCCCTCTCTACAGTAAGTGAGTTCATATTAGATGCGGTTGTTAAAGAGACTGGGATCACCGTATTCTTTCTCCCTTTAATGCCATGTGGCATGCCTGCTCCCCTTTTACCTTCCACCATGAGTGTAAGCATCCTAAGGCTCTCACCAGAAGCAAATGTGATCACTATGCTTCTTCTATAGCCTGTAGAACTGTGAGCCAAATAAACTTCTTTTCTTTATAAATTACCTAGCCTCAGGTATTTCTTTAGAGCAATGCACAATGGACTAACACAGAAGGGAATGCTGCATCTGGTTTCTCTTGGACATGGCCTTATGCCCCTTTCCTCTTTACTTATTCTGATCTGTATCCTTTTTCTGTAACAAACAATAACAATAAGAATAACAGCTTCTAATGCAGTGATTCAGAATGTAAAAGTGGACTTGGGAACGCCCAACACAAATATTTGAAAATTATAAATATTTGTGGTTAAAACAGATTGACTGAACCAGGTTTTTCACTGTGGTAGAAGAAAAATACAAATATAAAATGTGTTAAATCAAGAATGAACCCTGGGGAATGGACTGGTATTAGAGGTATTAGTATAAAATATTTCTATCTGTGTATCTGTGTGTCTGTCTATTTATCTATCTATGTATCTATCTATCCATCTGAACATATTCATGAAAGTGTATGTGTACATGTACATATGTGTATTAACAGGCATATATTTTCTATCCCTAGCACTGAGACAACCTAGAAGCAAAGTCATTCCAACAGCAATGGGCACAACTAACACCTAAATTTTGATTTCTAGTACTATTCTATAAGGAACGAGGGTTCCCTGACAGAAGCATCTGATTTCTGGCCTGCTGCAGTATGGGTCCAAAATAAACTTAGAACATCTTGATAGGTTGGGAATGTGGTACAATGAGAGAGGTTCTACCTTGAAAAATGTGTCACTGTCAAATCTGGGCAATTTAATACCAAAGTAAGTATAGTAATAAATTATAAACCAGTGGATAAATTATAAAAACCTACGAGTTCATCCTATTAATAAATAGATACATAAATAGAATATCAAGGAATAACCTATAAATAGAATTAGAAAATTATAATTTTGTAACTATTACAAAAGAGGGTTCATGCAAAATAGGCACTAATTCTCAGAGAATATTTTGGGTTTTTAAAAATTTTTTTACTTCAATAGCTTCTGGGGTACAAATGCTTTTGGCTACAAAGATAGATTATATTGTGGTAAATTCTGAGGTTTTAATGCAACTCTCACCTAAATAGTGTTTATTATACCCAATATGTAGTCTTTTATCCCTCAAATCTCTTCCTCTCTCCCACGTCTGTGTCTCCAAAGCTCATTATATCACTGTGTATGCCTTTGCATTCTCATAGCTTAGCTCACACTTATAAGGGAGAACATATAGTACTTGGCCTACCAAATTTCACTCAGAATAGTGGCCTCCAGCTCCATCAAAGCTGCTGCAAAAGACAATATTTTTCTTTTTATGGCTGAGTAGTATTCCATAGTGTAAATATACCCCATTTTTTAAAATCCACTAATTGGTTGATGAACACTTAGATTGGTTTTATATCTTTGCAATTGTAAATTGTGCTGCAATAAACATTCTTGTGCATGTGGCTTTTTCATATGATGACTTATTTTCCTTTGGGTAGATACCAAGTAGTAAGAATCCTGGATTGAATGGTAGATCTACTTTTAGTTCTTTAAAGAATCTTTACACTGTTTTCGATAGTTTGTACTAATGTACATTCCCACCAGCAGTTTAGAAGAATACCCCTTTCACCACATCCATGCCAACATCTTTTTTTCTTTCAACTTTTTAATAATGATCATTCTTACAGGAATATGGTGGTATTTTATTGTGGTTTTAATTTGCATTTCCCTGATAATTAATGATGCTGAGCATTTTTTATATGTTTGTTTTCCACTTGGTTATCTTTTGAGAAATGTTTATTCATGTTGTGAAAGGAAAATAAATCTTGGGACCCCAAATTACTACAGTAAAGGGAAAAGTCAAGCTGGAAGCTGCTTAAAGAAAACCTGACTCCCATTCTATTCAAAGTCATCCCTCTGCTCACTGAGATAAATGCATTATCTGATTGCCTTCTTTGGAAAGGCTAAACAAAAACTCAAAAAAAAAAAAAATGCAACCACTTGTTTCTCACCTACTAATGACCTGGAAATCTCCTTCATGCTTTGAGTTGTCTCTCCTGAACCAACATACAACTTACACATATTGATTGATGTCTCATCAAAAATGTATAAAACCCATCCGTGCCCTCATCACCTTCGGCAATTCTCCTCACAACCTCCTGAGGCTGCATCATGGGCATGCATCCTTAATTTTGGCAAAATAAACTTTGTAAGTTGACTGAGACCTGTCTCACATATTTTCAGTTTGTATTTGGTGACCAACGGAAGGAACTCTGAGTGGAGGTGGTCCTGACCTTTGACAAATCTCTTATGGGGGCTTGGTACCAGCTTGAGCTATCTTTATGGCTCAAACCTATAAGACAATTTGCTGAGGCTTGGAAGCTACCCTCCCTCCAGAGGACCTCTAGTCTCCCAAAATTTGCTTGAAATCGACAGTTTATTTTGCTGTATATCTCCTTCTCTGGAGTTTTACTTGCTTCCAACAATGAAGGCAAGATTTCCTGCTTCCATGAGGATGCAAAGCAGATAACTCTTTTCTGGAGTTTGAGCTCACTTCTAAAAGGGAAGGCAAGTTGGAGGTTATTTTTTCTGCTTCTAGGATGGTAGAGAGCAGTCCTCAGCCTGAGACGCATCCCCATGTAAGTAGCTTAGTTGGGGTTTGGTCTCAGCTAAAGTTAAGATTAACAACCAGCTGGTCTTAATTTCTCATTACCATTACAGTGCTCAATCATTTCTTTGTTTTGCTTAACTGCTTTTTTTGTTGTTGTTGTTGTTACCTGTTTGTTTCTGTTTTGGTTGTTGTTTTCAGTCTTTTTCCCATTGGGTTTTACCAGCTCTATCTGACTTTATCAAATCTGAAGGAAAGTTCCAAATTATTGGGAAGAAGACATCTGAAGTGGCTAAATTTCTGCCAAAAAAAAAAAAAAAAAAAAAGTGGGGTGTGGAGGAAAACGGCCAGCAAAAGAAATAAGGGAAGATTTATATTATGACTACTTAAGGGGCTTTATTTACATAACAAGGCCACCTTTTTGCTAGCCAAGCCAAACTGAAAGAGCAATGGCTGTTGCCCCATGCTGCAGTTCCATAGCTAAGGTTCTGGTTGCCCTTTTTTTTTTTTTTTGTCCACCAGGACAGCCTGTCTTGGTTCCTAAATCAAGCCCTTTCTAGTTTGATACTCGTTACTTTTAAAATATTAGCAATTCGTTCTAGCTAAAATATAGCAAATAGATTTAAAAACATTTTTTAAAGGAACGCAATGGTTAAAAGCCAGCTTAAAGTTAACATCCAAGATGTGTCTGTGTATGGGTGCATGTGTGTGTTTGTATTAAAAGGTCTTCATTTTTTTTCTTTTTCTCTCCTTGGACCTTGTCTTTTTTTTTGGAACAAAAGTTTTTTTCTTCTCAGCTGACTGAATTATGTTTCTCCATTTACTTCTGCTGTCTCTCCTTTCTCTTGCCACCCTCTGCTGCATGAGGGACCTAAAATAGTTTATAATAGCCTGGAATTTCTTAAAGAAAAAAAAAATGGGGGGAGATTGTGCCAGACTCCCTTTTGGGGCGTAACCTCTGTTTTTCTTTATGGTACTCCAAGTGTGTAAACAGACAAGTTTGGCTCAGATATTAAACTGCTTGTGTTAGCTGATTTTTGACTAAAATAGTTATTACAACAGAAGCTATTCTTGAGTTTTTAAAGAAGAGTGTAGTTTAGACACTTAAAAGTTTTTGTTTAAAATAATTTTTTTCAGTGCACTGTAAAAGCAACATGTGGTCTACCCTCATAATAATTCTCCCTTTTTGGAGCCCCAGGATTCAATGTGGGCTCTGCCTAGAGCTTAGGGATCCAATGAAAAGATAGATAGTCCCTATCTAAAAACAAATGGGTCTCCTTATACAATCCTATATTTCTATAATTTCATGTTTGATTTGGCATCTATCTTTAATCTTTCTCTAGCACCACAAGACTCTCTCTGTACTTTGAGATGTAAATTTTGCTATCTGATTTTTCACCAAAGAGTTCCTTTAATATGAACATTTAGGGCTATCTAGCTGACAATTGCCTAGGGCAATAAAATAGGTTATCAAAAAATTGGAAATCTAAAATAGGAGAAAAAATAGAGGTCTAAATTTATAAGATCTACTTCTATCTACATGTCTAATACATCTGTGCATTTATGTGTCATGTATATGATGTTTCATACTAAAAATGTATAAAGAAGTTCTAATTAATTTGCTTACAAAAGCTTAAATCAAATACTTTGTCAGAAAAATAGAGGCTTTGAGCCTAATGCTTTTTAAAGTTCACATGACTTAAGTAAATCTTTATTAAATAAGCTGGTTTTTAGAATTTTTAATGAAATAGAATTAGAAATGGCTTCAGAATTGTCAATGCACATTATTTATCTCTGCTATATATCAAAATTTGTCATGAGGTTTATAAAGCTATAAATGCAGCTCAAAAGAAAATTATACTTGTTTATGTAAAATTTAATAAATAACAGTTAATACTGTTTGGTTAATGAAAATAGCTAAATCCGGAGTTAACGGCAAAAAAAATTATCTAAACTTAAATTTATTACTGAGGAAAACCTGAAATTCACAGGTTATAAACATAGACAACAAGGAAATAACTTTAAATAATTATCCCAGTTTTCATAAGTAATCTGGGTAAACTATTTTTAAAAACTAATTAATTAGGTAAATGTAATGGAATAAATGCTTTTAGATAATCTTGCCTTATAATTTAAAATCTAAAGTTACATTAAGATAAATAATAGATATTCATTCAATGTCTAGGCCATTTGTATTTTTATGTAACAGAACACAGTTGGAGAAACTGGTTATTTTACCAAGGTTTTGACTGGAATAGAGTGCTTTCTTCTAAGGAATCAAACTTGACTTATAGAGCCAATAAAAGCCCCTTGAGAAATCTGGCCTTATACCTTGTCTACACAGTCCCTGTACAGGGCTCCTTATCTGTACTAAGTAAAGAATGTCACTTTCTGACAGGCCTGGGAGCTCCAAATTATCTTGGGATCTCAAGAGCAGAGGAATTTACCCGACTCATAGGTATTTGATGTTACAAAGCCATGGCTTGGCTCGACTTTAAAAAAGTTTTATCTGAGATTTCTTCTATGGAACGAAGTTTCATCAAAGCCAATTTTTAAAAAGCCCATTTAAAAAATAATTATTCTTCCTGCACTTTTCTATAATCAGACCAAGTATAATAAAGCAAGTAAAATAGAATTGAAAAATGGGAAACTGAAGAGAGAAAAATTATGTTTCAAAAACTATAGCAAACTTGTTAGATTCTAGTCTTGCCTAATGTTTTTACATTTTTATTATTTTGTACAGTTTGGACTGAATTCTAATTTTTCCTGGCTATAAGTCTCCAAAATAACATTTTTATATTTTTTCCTTCTTTCTTTTCTTTTCCCTCAATTTTTTTCTAATTTGAAATCATTGAATATTAAGCTGTGCTTTCTTAAATCCCTGCAAACAGAAGCCATACAACTTAAACTGCAGAAGAAAATAACAGCAACCTATTTACATGTATAAGCCACTTTTATACCTACCTACTAATGTATGGCAGAGTAATATGGCCTATATCAACTTTCCAGGATTTCTATTTTTTGTTCATTTTTTTTTCTCTCTTTCTCCCTCTATTATCTCTTCCTAGAACATTGGACTTCACAACCTGCTAAAAATGAGTTTGTCTAATAACATGGGACCTACCCATCTAGAAATAAACCACCCTGGCCATGAGAAATAAGAGGAAACCTGAGACCAGAGACAAAAAAAAAAAAAAAAAAAAAAAAAAAAAAAAAAAAAAAAAAAAAGATTTCTCTGAAACACTTTATAAAGGGGAGAAATATAAAAGGAAAATGAATCTTGGGCCTCAAAATAACTACACTAAAGGGAAAAGTCAGACTGGAAACTGCTTAGGGCAAATCTGACTCCCATTCTATACAAAGTCACCCCTCTGCTCACTGAGATAAATGCATATCTGATTGCCTCCTTTGGAAAGGCTAATCAGGAAATCAAAGAAATGCAACTGTTTGTCCTTCACCCACTTATGACCTGGAAACCCCAGCCCTGCTTTGAGTTGTTCCACCTTTCTGGGCTGAACCAATGTACAACTTATATATGTTGATTGATGTCTTATGTCTCCCTAAAAATGTATAAAACCAAGTTGTGCTCTTATCACCTTGGGCACATGTCACTGGGACCTCCTGAGGCTGTGTCATGGGCACATGTCCTTAACTTTGGCAAAAGAAACTTTCCAAATTGACTGAGAACTGTCTCAGATATTTTGAGTTCACAATGTCAATTGCCAACTTTTTAACGGCATTATTTGTTTTTTTCTTGCTAATTTGTTAAAGTTTCTTGTAGATTCTGGACACTAGTTCTTTGTTTACCATATAGTTTGCAAATATTTTCTCCCATTCTGTGTGTTGTCTGTTTTTTTCTGATGATAATTTCTTTGGCTTTGCAGAAGCTTTTTAATTAAATTTGGTCCCACGTATTTATTTTTGTTTTTGTTGCATTTGCTTTCAGGGGCTGATATGGTTTGAGTCTGTGTTCCCACCAAATCTCATGTCAAATTGTAATCTCCAGTGTTGGAGGCATGAATGGATTAACATCACCCTTTCAGTGCTACTCTTGTGATAGTGAGTGAGTGTTGAGTGAGTGAGTGAGTGAGTGAGTGACTTATTGGATGATCTGGTAATTTAAAATCATGTAGTCCCTCTTCCCTCCCTCTCTTTCTCCTGCTTCAGCCATGAGAAGTGCTGGCTTCCCCTTCACTTGTCACCATGATTGTAAGTTCCCTGAGGCTTTCCTAGAAGATTATGCTGCCATGATTTTATACAGCTTGCAGAACCATGAGTCAATTAAACCTCTTTTCTTTATAAATTACCCAGTCTCAGGTATTTCTTTATGACAATGCAAGATTGAACTAATAAAGGAAATTGGTACCAAGGAGTGTGGCATTGCTATCAAGATACGTGAAAATGCAGAAGCAATGTTGGAATTATGTAACAGTCATGCTGGGTTCAGTGGCTCATGCCTGTAATCCCAGCACTTTGGGAGGCCGAGGTGGGTGGATCACGAGGTCAGGAGATTGAGACCATCCTGGCTAACACGGTGAAACCCTGTCTCTACTAAAAATACAAAAAAATTAGCCGGACGTGGTGGTGGACACCTGTAGTCCCAGCTACTTGGGAGGCTGAGGCAGGAGAATGGCATGAACCCAGCAGGCGGAGCTTGCAGTGAGCTGAGATCATGCCACTGCACTCCAGGCTGGGCGACAGAGAGAGATTCCATCTAAAAAAAAAAATAGAAAAAAAAGAGTCTGGAGGGCTTAGAAGAAGACAGGAAAATGAGGGAAAATTTGGAACTTCCTAGAGACTGCTTAAACTGGGATCAAAATGCTGATGGTAATATGGACCGTGAAAGCCAGGCTAAGGAGGTCTCAGATGAAGATGAGGAACTTTTTGAGAACTGGAGCTAAGGTCACTTTTGTTATGCCTTAGCAAAGAAGCTGAAGGAATTTTGCCCCTGCCCTAGGATTTTGAGAAACTTTGAACTTGAGAGAGTTGAGATAGATGATTTAGTGTATTGGGTGGAAGAAATTTCTGAGCAGCAGAGTGTCCAAAATGTGACCTGGCTGCTTCTAACCACCTAAGTTTATACATGTGAACAGACAAATGGCCTGAGACTGGAACTTATATTTAAAAGGGAAGCAGAGGATAAAAGTTTGGAAAATTTGCAGCTCACTTAGGTGATAGAAAAGAAAAGCCAATTTTCAGGGGAGTAATTCAAGCAGGCTGTAGAAATCAGCATAACTAAAAGGAAGGCAAGCAGTTATATCTAAGACAATGGGGAAAAGGCCAACAAAGCGTTTCAGATTCCTTCATTGCAGCCCCTTTAATTACATGCCCTGAGACTTAGGAGGGAATAATGATTTCCAGGGCTGGTCCCAGGGCCCCACTGCCCTATGCAGCCTCAAGACACTGTTCCCTGCATGCTAGTTACTTCAGTTCCAGCCATCCAGCCATAGCTCAAAGGAGTTCAGGTAAAACTCAGGGTGCTGCTTCAGAGGGTGCAAGCCATAAGCCTTGGCAGCTTTCATGTGGTGTTGAAGCCTGTGGGTGCACAGAGTGCAAGAGTTGAGAATTTGGAGCCTTCACCTAGATTTCAGAAGATGTATGGAAAAGCCTGAATGTCTAGGCAGAAGCCTGCTGCAGTGGCAGAGCCTTATGGGCAACCTCTAATAAAGAAGCATTAAGGGGAAATGTAGGGTTGTATCCCCTACCTGGAGTCCCCACTGAGGCATTGCCTAGCAGAGATGTCAAAAGAGGACCAGCATCCTCCAGATCCCAGAATGGTTGATATGCTGGCAGCTTGCACTGTGCTTCTGGAAAAGCTGCAGAGCCTGTAAGAAGCAGCTGTGGGGGCTGAACCTGGAAATTCACAAGTGTGGGGCTGTCCAAGGCCTTGGGAGCACACCCTTTGCACCAGTATGCCCTGTATGTGAGACATGGAGTCAAAGTGTTACCAGGAGGTCCTTGCTCCCAGAGCTCCCAAGATGGCGGTGGGTCACTTCCAAAATGGCCACGGGCCACTTCCAAGATGGTAGCAAGCCTCGTGTTCTCTGACATGGGGTTCTTGGCCTCACGGATTCCAACGAAAGAAATCTTGGGCCATGCAGTGAGTGTTATAGCTCTATTAGAAGCTGTGGGTCACGGAAGAGAACCGTGGAACCCAGTGACTAGTGTTCAGCTTGATTAGAATGAACCCGGGCACTTAGCAGTGCAGGAACAATGGCAAGCCTTTAGCCCAATCAGAAGCAGCAATGGGCGCCTCACTGGATCAGGAGCACAGTGAACACCCTGCCTCATCTGGACGGATGGAAGTCAGCGGTGGGTCTGCGAGGGCAGCAAACAGCAGTGGTGGACAGCGAGCGAAAGCTCAGCTTAAGCCGTAACAAACACGGACCAGAAGAGTGCAGTTGCAAGATTTAATAGAGTGAAATAGAGTGAAAACAGCTCTCATACAAAGGGAGGGGACCCAAAGAGGGTAGCTGTTGCGGGCTTGAATGCCTGGGTTTATGTCCCAATCATTGTCCCTCCCACTGTGCTCTCAGGTGATAGATGATTGGCTATTTCTTTACCTCCTGTTTTTGCCTAATTAGCATTTTAGTGAGCTAGATTATTTTGGAGCTTTAAGGTTTAATGACTGCCCTGTTGGGTTTTGGACTTCATGGGTCCTGCAGCTCCTTTCTTTGGCCAACTCTTCCACTTTAAAATGGAAGTATCTATCAAATGCTTGTATCACCATTGTATCTTGGAAGTAAATAACTTGTTTTTGATTTTAGAGGCGTATAGGTGGAAGACACTTGTCTTATCTCAGATGAGACTCTTTTCACTCGCGTCCATGTGAAGAGACCACCAAACAGGCTTTGTGTGAGCAACGAGGCTGTTTATTTCACCTGGGTGCAGGTGGGCTGAGTCCAAAAAGAGAGTCAGCAAAGGGAGATAGGGGTGGGGCCGTTTTATAGGATTTGGGTAGGGAGTGGAAAATTACAGTCAAAGGGGGTTTTTCTCTGACTGGCAGGGGCAGGGGACACAAGGTGGTCAGTAGGGGAGCTTTTGAGCCAGGATGAACCAGGAGAAGGAATTTCACAAGGTAATGCCATCAGTTAAGGCAGGAACAGGCCATTTTCACTTCTTTTGTGATTCTTCAGTTACTTCAGGCAATCTGGATATACACATGCAGGTCACAGGGGATATGATGGCTTAGCTTGGGCTCAGTGGCCTGATAACTTTAAACTTTAGACTTTTGAGTTAATGCTGGAATGAGTTAAGATTCTGGGGAACTGTTGAGGAGGAATAATTGTATTTTGAAATGTGAGAAGGACAGGAGATTTGGAGAGGCCACAGTCAGAATAATAAGGTTTGGATCTGTGTTTCCCCAAATCTCATGTCTAATTGTAAGCCCCAGTTTTGAAGGTGGGACCTGGTGGGAGGTGACTGGATCATGGGGGCAAAGTTCTCATAAATTGTCTAGCACCATTTCCTCAGTGCTGTTCTTATGATAGGGAGTGAGTTATTATGAGATCTGCTTGTTTAAAAGGGTGTAGCACCTCTTTGCTTTCTTCCTCCTACTCCAGCCTTGTGTTGTGCTGGCTCCCATTTCAACTTTTTCCATGAGTGTAAGTTCCCTGAGGTCTTCCCAGAAGCTGATGTCACCATGCTTCCTGTACAGTATGCAGAACCAAGAGCCAATGAGGCCTCTTTTCTTTATAAATGTTCTGGCCTCAGGTATTTCTTTATCACAATGGGAGAAGAGACTAATACAGGAAATTGGTCATGAATTCTCTGCTTAGGCCAATATCCAGAAGAGTTTTTCCAAGGATATATTCTAGAATTGTTATGGTTTCAGGTCTTAGATTTACATCTTTCATTCATCTTGAGTTGATTTTTGTATAAGGTGAAAGATAGGTATCCAGTTTCATTCTTCTACATGTGGCTAGCCAGTTTTCTTTTGTCTTTCTTTGTTTTTTTGTTTGTTTGTTTCTGAGATGGAGTCTTGCTCTGTTGCTCAGGCTGGAATGTCGTGGCATGATCTTGGCTCACTGCAACCTCTGCCTCCCAGGATCAAGCAATCCTACCGCGTCAGCCTCCTAAGTAGCTGGGATTACAGGCACATGCCACCACACCCGGCTAATTTTTTATATTTTTAGTAGAGACAGGGTTTCACCATGTTGGCCAGGCTGGTCTCGAACTCCTGATCCCAGGTGATCCACCTGCCTCAGACTCCCAAAGTGCTTGGATTACAGGTGTGAGCCACCGCACCCAGGCTGGCTCGTGAGTTTTCTAAGCACAATTTATTAAATAGAATGCCTTTTCTCTATTTTATGTTTTTGTATGTTATATCAAATATCAGTTGTTTATAAGTATCTGACCTTATTCCTGAGTATTCTCTTCTGTTTCACTGGTCTGTGTGCCTACTTTTATAAAAGTATCATGCTATTTTGGTAAATACAGCCTTGTAATATAACTTGTAGTCTGGTTGTGTAATATTTCCAAATATGTTCTCTTTCCTTAGCATTCCTTTGCCTATTAAGGCTCTTTTTTGATTCCATATAAATTTTAAGATTGTTTTGTCTAGTTCTGTAAAAAATAATGTTGGTATCTTGATGGAAATTGCATTTAATCTGTAGATTGCTTTGGGCAGTGTGGTGATTTTCAGAATATTGATTGAGTTTCTATCCATGAGCATCAGATGCATCTACATTTGTTTGTGTCATCTTTTTTTTGTTTTGTTTTGTTTTTGAGATGGTGTCTCATTCTGTCGCCCATGTTGGTGTGCGGTAGCATGATCTTGGCTCACTGAAACCTCCGTCTCCTGGGTTTAAGTGATTCTCCTGCCTCAGCCTCCTGAGTAGCTGGGACTACAGGCGTGTGCCACCATGCCCGGCTAATTTTTTGTAGTTTTAGTAGAGACAGGGTTTCACTGTGTTAGCCCAGATGGTCTTGATCTCCTGACCTCGTGATCTGTCTGCCTCATCCTCCGAAAGTTCTGGGATTACAGGCGTGAGCCACTGTGCCCAACCTGTCATCTCAGTTTTCTTCCAGCAATGTTTTGTATTTCTCCTTCTACAGATTCTTCACTTTCTTGTTTACTTATATTCCTAGATATTTTTATATTTTTTCAGCTATTGTAAAAGAGACTTCTTGATTTGATTTTCAGCTTGGTCACTGTTGGTGTATAGCAGTGCCATTGATTTGTGTACATTGATTTTACATCCTGTGACTTCACTATATTTGTTTATCGAATCTAGGATTCTTTTGGAGGAATCTTTAGGGTTTTATAGGTATAAAATTATATCATTAGCAAATGGCGATAGTTTCACTTTCTCTTTTCCAATTGGGATGCCCTATGTTTTTTATCCTGCCGGATTGCTCTGGCCAGAACTTCCAGTACTCTGTTGAACAGAAGTGGTCTAAGTGGGTATCCTTTTCTTATTCCAGTTCTTAGGGTAAATCATTATATTCAGTGTGATGTTGGCTGTGGGTTTGTCATATATGGCTTTTATTATTTTGAGATAAGTTCATTCTATGCCTAGTTTGTTGAGTGTTTTTATCATAAAGTGATACAAGATTTTATGGTGCTTTTTCTGCTTATATTTAGATAATTGTATAATTCTTTTTAGTTCTGTCTATGTGATGTGTCACATTTGTTGACTTGTGTATGTTAAGCCATCCTTGTATGCCTGAGATGAAACATAATTGATCATGGCATATTATCTTTTTGGTGTGCTGTTGGATTAGGTTAACTAGTATTTCTTTGAGAATTTTTGCATTTATGTTCATGAAGAAAATTTGTCTGTAGTTTCCTTTTTTTGTTATGCTCACTACTGGTTTAGGTATGAGGGTGATACTGGGTTCATAGAATAACTTAGAGAAGATTACCTCTTTCTCAATCCTTTGGAATAGTTTCAGTAGAATTGGTACTAATTCTTCTTTGAGTGTCTGATAAAATGTAGCTCTAGATTTATCTGGCCATGGGCTTATTTTTTTCTTGGCATTTTAAAAAAATTACTGATTAAATCTTGCTGCTTGTTATTGGTTTGTTCAGGGTTGCTATTCTTTCCTCCTTTATTCTAGGAGGGTAGTATGTTTCCAGGACTTTATCTATTTCCTCTAGATTTTCTAGTTTGTGTACATAGAAATGTTCACAGTAGTCTTGAATGGTCTTTTGTATTTCTATATTATGTTGGTTGTATGTATTTCTATATTGTGTTGATATTGTATGTTGGCTGTAAAGTCTCCAGTTTCATTTCACTATAGCTCATTTGAAATTCTCTTATATATTGGTTAATCTAGCCAACGGCTTATCAATTTTGTTTCTTTTCAAAGAAGCAGCTTTTTGTTCTATTGATCTTTTGGGATTTTTTGTTTTAATTTCATTTAGTTCTGCTCTAATCTTTATTTCTTTTCATATGTTAGCTTTGGATTTGTTTTGCTCTTGTTTCTCTAGTTTCTTGAGGTGTGAAATTAGGTAGTCAGTTTGTGTCCTTTCAGACTTTTTGATGTAGGCATTTAGCACTGCAAATGCTCTTAGCAGTGCTTTTGCTGTTTTGTAGGGATTTTCATAACTTTTGTCACTATTATCATTCATTTTGATGTTTACATTTTTAAATTTTCATCTTGACATTATTGTTAACCTAAAAATTATTTAGGAGGAGATTGTTTAATTTCCATGGATTTGTGGTTTCTTTTGGAGTTGATTTTTTATTCTATTTTACTGTGGTCTGAGAAGATATTTGATATAATTTTAATTTTTTAAAATTTATTGAGACTTGTTTTGTGGCCAATCATATGATGTATCTCAAAGAATGTTCTATGTGCTGATGAGAAGAATTCATATTCTGTAGCTCTTTGATAGGATATTCTGTAAATATGTGTTAGGTTCTGTCTCAGATACTTTTCAGTTTACACTAGCTAATATTGGCAACAATATTGTTTTGAGTGTTGTTTATATATGTAGTCATAAAGCTCACAGCTCACATTTATTTGGGGGAATATGTATTTTTTTCATTAAACACACGAAATATAAACAATGAAAATTTATTTTAATATTGATACATCTTGAATTTCATAATGGGGCAGAATAAGTTAGGTTAGATGGCAATACTGACTGGATCCCTTGTTTGAAGCCCTGCAGGCTCCATCCCTAGCACCCTTCTGTGTCAGCACCTAACTCTTTTGCAAGATAAGCAGTCCCACAGGATACCAGCAGAGTGCAAGATAGTTACAAGGTTCTGATACCTGATATAGGTCCAGGAAAAAGAACAAAAACTCCTTATTCCTGATGTATCTTCTCCAATATCCAGCCAATCTGCACAAGAATCCCAAGAAATTAATAGCTACAAATTTCTGCCTTGGAGCTAAGAATTTTCTTTTTCTTTCTTTGTCCTACTTGCTCAGGTGGGCTCAAGGTTTAGCTTATAGTGACTGTTTTCTCATTTTAACAGTAAAACACACCTTTACGTGCAGGTTTTATATGCTAATAACACATGTGATGTATGTTAGAGTTTGTAGATGCTGAGTGCATGTGCCAACTGCAGATCTGCCTTTGCATAGCTTACCTCACCAGTATTTTATAAATATGTAGGGAGAGGGTCAATATGGCTGACTAGAAGCAGCTAATGTGTGCCGTCCTCATGGAGAGAAGAAACAGTAGTGAGTAAATACTATACCTTCCACTAAAACATTCAGGTGAACACAATGGGATTCATTAAGAAAACAACTTGACCCACAGAGAATGGAGAGAAACAAGACTGAACAACTGCCAACAAAGAAGTGGCACTAAGACAAGGGAGTCCCCGCGATGGGGAAATGGCAAGTGAGTGAGAAATCTCAGGGACCCACACTTTTTTATGTATCTTTGCCACTGTTGGGTCAGGAGATTCTCTCAGGAGCCCATTCAGCCAGGGCCTTCAGACTGCTATGAAGAGCTACGTGGAGTCTGGATAGAGCCACCACTCAAGCACACACAGTGTCCTGGGAGCCTTGGATCCTGGGCTTCACAGCATTAGTAGCTGCAGTTCCAGCAAAGGGGGAGGTTAGGCTCTCTTACATACCCTGGGGAAAGGGGCTGAACCCGAAGGGCTAAGCAGCGCCAGTCTGAAGGCTTTGCTTCCACTCTACTTCAGAGAATAAAGACCACTAATTTGGGACTCCAGCCACCTCCTACTGGAACTCTGAGGCCAGTAATAGCTCCACACTTCCCTGGGACAAAGTTCCCAGAGGGAGGGGTGGGATGTCATCTTTGTTAGCTCTCATGCTTTTCTGTCTGTTACCTTCATACTCTGGAGATTCTGAGGTAACTAGGGTCTTTCTGGGACCCCCAACACATTGAAGCTGCCTTACAAAAAAGCATCCAGACTGTTTTTAATGCAGGCCTTTATCCCCGTTCTCCTCACTGGCCAGGACCTCCAGATCTGAGAATCCAGCCATTCCTTGCTGGAGTTCTTGGGCCATCAGCAGCTCTGAACCTCCCTGAGACAGAGACCCCAAAGGGAGGAGTGGGTTGCCATCTTTACTTATTTACATACTTTGCCACTGTTGCCTTCAGCCTCTGGAGAATCCATGGCGACTAGAGCTCGGCACAGACCCCCAGTGCAGTGCAGCTGCCCCACAGAAAAGTGGCCTGACTGTTCCCCATGCAGGTCCCTGTCCACACTTGTCCTTACTGTGCAGGACCTCCTGACCTGGGACTCCAGCCTAACCCCTGTCCTTGCCTTCTCCAAGGAGGAAATCCCAGATTCAATCCACAGCCCCTCCACCATTGCAGCTGCAGTAGTACTGCCTTAATTGCCTTCAAGCTGGGAAAAGAACAAAGACAATAGTCATTACACTGGCACCTCCAGTACAGTGCAGCCAGCATACATAGAGGAGTCCAGTCTCTCTTCCCTGGAAGCCCCCATGCCCCCTCTTCACCAGGTAGGTCCCCTGGCTCAGGAATGCAGAACAGCCACCCCAACCATTGCTGAGCATACCCACTGGTAGTGGCTCTGAGTTTCTGTGGGTAGGAGCTCCCAGAGCCAACTGACAGCCCCTCTGCCACTGCCACAGCAGTGGATCTGTCCCATCTGACCTCAGTCGGCAGAAGAAACAAAGAGCTTGAGGGCTTCACCTGGGCTTACAGCACATCTCAGCCAACATATGGAGAACAACCCTGTCTCTCTTCTCTGTAAGCCCTAGACACCCTTCTCCCTGACAATGACAGCCCCTAGCTCAGGCCAGCAGTAAAGCTACCCGGACTCACTGGCTGAATACTCCCAGTAGCAATGGCTCTGCCTTTCTCATAGGTGGAGCTCCCAGGGAAGACAGAAATCCCTTTTGCCATTGCCTCTCCAGTGAAACTGCCCATGCTGCCCTTGGACTAAGGAAACAGCAAAGATCCTGAGTGCCTTATCCATACCTCAAGCAAGCTGTAGTTGCCCTAAGGAGAGGCCAGGCTGTCTCCCACAGATCACACACACTCCACTGCTTATCACCAGGAAGTGACCCCAGTTTGGGCCCACAGTGCAGCCACCCCATTCTTAGCCAATCACACTGATTGACTGAAGCTTTACATCTCTCTTGGTTGGAGCCCCAGAACAAGTGGAGTAGCATTGACCACAACTGCTGCTAAGCTCCCTTTCCCTGCTGCTTCCAAGCTGGGGAGGAAAAATGAAGCCTGAGATTATTCCAGGGCTTGGGTGTGCAGCCCGAAACTGCTAAGCTGAGATCTGTAACCAGCACTCAAATGGGAGAGGAGACCACATTTTCAGAGCATTAAGAGAGAATGTAGCTGCAATCAAGAGAAAAAAAAAAAAAGAAAAAGAAAAACAGGAGTCACATAACAGAACCAGCACTTACTTACTAACCATTATGCCTAAGCAGCACCTACTGGATCACACACCAAAACTTAAACACCAAAACTACATTCTAAGCATACCTTCCTTTGAAACCAAAGACAAGAATTCAGTTTCTGATAAAGGCCATGTACAGAGCTTCAACCATCTGAAAACACCAAGAAAAGGAGTGTACTGACTACTCAATTTACACTGCAGTTAAAGAAACACCCACAAGTGCAGATGAGAAAAATACCAACACAATAACTGGCAACTCAAAATGCCAAAGTGTTTCCTTTCCTCAAAATGACTACAGTAGTTCCCCAGCAAGGGTTCTCAGCTGAGCTGAGATGGCTGAAATATCAGAAGTAGAGTTCAGAATATGGATAGAAATGAAGATCATTGAGATTCAGGAGAACATGAAAATTCAATCCAAGGAAGAAAAGGATCACAAAAAATGATGGAGGATCTTATAGATAAAACAGTTAGTATTAAAAAAGAACCAAACTAGTCTGATAGAGCTAAGAACACACTATAAGAATTTCATAATGAAATTGCAAGTATGAACAGCAGACTAGACCAAGCTGCAGAGATAAACTCAGAGCTTGAAGACAAGCTCTCTGAAATAAGACAGAAATAAAAATGAAAAAAAATAAAATAAAAAGGAACAAACAAAACCTCTGATAAATATGGGATTACATAATGAGATAAAATCTATGACTTATTGGAGTATGTACTTGAAAGAAATGAGGAGAAAGCAAGCAACTTAGAAAACATATTTCAGGATATTGTCCATAAAAACATTCACAAACTCGCTGGGGAGGCCAACATTCAAATTCAGGAAATGCAGAGAACCCCTACAAGATACTACACAAGAAGACCATCACCAAGACATCTAATCATGAGGCATTCCAAGGACAAAATGAAAGAAAAAATATGGCATGAGGCAGTTACAAAGGGCAAGTCACCTACAAAGAGAACCCCATCAGGCTAACAGCAGATCTTTCAGCAGAAATTCTATAAGCCAGAAAAGATGAGGGGCCTGTACTCAACATTCTTAAAGAAAAAATCTTAAACAAGGAATTTCATATTCAGCCAAATAAACTTAGTAGGTGAAGGAGAAATAAGCTCCTTATTAGATATCCATACAATACTAGTTGGAGGCTTCAACACTCCATTGAAAGTATTAGACAGAACCAAGCAGAAAAATAACAAAGGTACTCAGGACCTGAACTCAACACTTGACCACATGGATCTAATAGACATCTGCAGAACTCTTCATCCAAAAACAACAAATTGTACATTATTCTCATCACCACATAGCACATACACCAAACTTGACCATATAATCAGACATAAAATAATCCTCATAAAATTTTAAAAAAATGAAATCATACCAGTCACACTCTCAGACCACAGCACAATAGAAATAGAATTCAATACAAAGAAAATTGCTCAAAACCATACAATTACATGGAAATTAATCAACCTCCTCCTGATTGACTTTTGGGTAAATAATGGAATTAAGGCAGAAATCAAGTTTTTTGAAACTAATGAGAACAAAGAGACAAGATAGTTGAATCTCTGGGAAACAGCTATGTCAGTGTTAAAGGGAAATTTATAACAAGAAACACCCACATCAGAAAGCTGGAAAGATCTCAAATTAACAACCTAACGTCACAACTGGAAGAAGTAAAGAAGCAAGAGCAAACCAACCCCAGAGCTACAAAACGACAAGAAATAACCAAAATAAGGCTGAATTGAAGGAGACTGAGGCTTAAAAATCCATGCACAATCAACAAAACCAAGAGTTGGTTTTTAGAAAATAAATTATAAGACTGACCACTAGTTAGACTAATAAAGAAGAAAAGAGAGAAGATAAAAATAAACACAATTAGAAAGAATGAAGCCATTACCAGTGACCCCACAGAAATACCAATAACTATCAGAGACTACCATGAACACCTCTATGCACAAAAACTAGAAAATCTAGAAGAAACAGGTAAACTCCTGGACACATACACCCTTCAAAATCTGAAACAGAAAACACTGAATCCCTGAATAGGCCAATATAAAGCTCTGAAATTAAAATAGTAATAAATGTACTAACAACCCAAAAAGGCCTAGAACCAGATGGATTCACAGTCAAGTTATACCAGGTATACAAAGAAAATCTGGTACCATTCCTAATGAAACTATTCTTAAGAAAATGAGGAGGGACCCCTCCCTAACTCATTCTATGAGGCCAGCATCATCTCAATATCAATACCGGACAGAGACACACACAAAAATGAAAACTTAAGGCCAATATTCTTGATAAACATAGATGCAAAGATTCTCAACAAAATATTAGCAAATCAAATCCAGCAGCATATCAAAAAGCTAATCCACCATGATCCAGTAATCTTTATCCCTGAGATGCAATGTTGGTTCAACATACAAAAATCACTAAATTTAATTCATCACGTAAACAGTGCTAAAGAAAAATACATATGATTTTCTCAGTAGATGCAGAAATGGCTTTCAATAAAATTCAAAATCCCTTCATGTAAAAAAACGATCAATAAACTATGCATTAAAGAAACATACTTTAAAATAATAACAGCTATCTATGACAAACCCACCGGCAACATCATACTGAATGGCAAAAGCTGAAAGCATTTTGATTTATAGCTAGCACAAGACAAGGATACCCTCTTTCACCACCACTATTCCACATAGTACAAAAGTCCTGACCAGGCAATCAGACAAGAAGAAAAACTAAAAGACATCCAAATAGGATGAGAGGAAGTCAAACTATCCCTTTTTGCAGATGACATGATTCTATGTCTTAAAGCACCCCATAGTCTCTTCACAAAAGCTCTGAGAGCTGATAAACAACTTCAGCAACATTTAAAGATACAAAATAAACATATAGAAATCAGTAGCATTCCCGTACTCCAACAACATCCAAGCCAGGAGCCAAATCAGGCACGCAATCACATTCACAATTGCCACAAATTAGATAAAATATCTAGTGATACAGCTAACCAGGGAGGTGAAAGATCTCTACAATAAAAATAACAAACCACTGCTCAAAGAAATCAGAGACAACACAAACAAATTTAAAAAAATATATGCTCATGGGTAGGAAGAATTAATATCTTTAAAATGGCCATACTGCCAAAACCAACTTACAGATTCGAAAGTTATTCTTATCAAACTGCCAATAACATTCTTCACAAAATTAGTAAATGCTATTTTAAAATTCATATGAAACAAAAAAGAAGCCTGCATAGCCAAATCAATCTTTAGCAGAAAGAAGAAAGGTGAAGGCATTATGTTACCCAAATTCAAACTATACTATAGGGTTAAAGTAACCAAAACAGCATGGTACTGGTAAAACAAAACAAAACAAAAGAAAAAAACAGAAACAGAGAACAATGGAACACAACAGACAGCTCAGCAATAATGCCACATACCTACAATGATCTCATCTTTGACAAAGGTGACAAAAACATTCAATGGGGAAAGGACTCTCTTCAATAAATAGTGCCGAGATAACTGGCTAGCCATATGCAGAAGATTGAAACTGGATCCCTTCCTTACACTATACATAAAAATCAACTCAAGATGGATTAAAGAGTTAAATGTAACAGCTAAAATTATAAAATCAACATAAGATAACCAAGGAAATACCATTCTGGAAATAGAAACTGGCAAAGATTTCATTACAAAGACACCAAAAGCCATTACAACAAAAGCAAAAATGGATAAATATGATCTAATTAAACTAATGAGCTTCTGCACAGCAAAAGAAACTATGAACAGAGTAACAGACAACCTACAGAATGGGAGAAAATTTTGCAAACTCTCATCTGACAAAGGTCTAATATCCAGTATCTAGAAAGAACTTAAATTTATAAGCAAAAACAAACAAACAAACAACAACAACAAAAAACATTAAAAAGTGGGCAAAGGACATAAACAGACACTTTTCAAAAGAAGACATACATGTGGCCAAGAAGCATATGAACAAAAGCTCAGTATCGCTGATCATTGGAGAAATAAAAATCAAAACCACAATGAGATACCATCTCACCCAGTAAGAATGGCTAATCATTAAAAAGACAAAAAATAACAGATGCTGGCAAGGTTGCAGAGAAAAGGGATCACTTTTACCCTGCTGTTGGGAGTGTGAATTAGTTTAATTATTGTGGAAAAGAGTGTGCTGATTCCTCGAAGACCTAAAAACAGAACTATCATTTTCCCCATCAAACTCATTACTGGCTATATACCCAAAGGAATATAATACATTGTTCTACCATAAAGACATACGTATGTGTGTGTTCATCGCAGCACTATCCCCAATATCAAAGACATTTAAGCAACCTAAACGCATGCACATCAACAGTAGACTGGACAGAAAAATGTGGTACCTATAGGCCGTGGAATACTATGCAGCCATACAAAGAATGACATAATTTTCTTTTCAGTAGCTTGGGTAGAGCTGGAGACCATTATTCTTAGCAAACTAATGCAGGAATGGAAAATCAAATACCACTTGTTCTCCCTTATATGTAGGAGCTAAATAATGACAACACATAGAAACCAAGAGGCTAACAGCAGACACTGGAGCCTACTCGAGGGTGGAGGGTGGGAGGAGGGAGAGGATCAGAAAAAAAAGATCTATCAGGTACTAGTCTTAGTATCTCGGTGATAAAATAATCTGTACACCAAATCCCCATGACATGTGTTCACCTATACAACAAACCTGCAAATGTACCCCTGAACCTAAAATAAAAGTTAAAAGAACAAATACAAATAAGCATAAATAAATAAATAAATATGTAGGTATGTATGTACAAATCCCATACAAGGAATTCCTCTTAAGGCGATAGCTGCTGTCTCTCCCCTTGGCAGCCAGCATACTCTCAGAGTATGCTTTCTGTTTACAATAAGCTTCTCTGCCTACTCTTACTTTGAATTTGCTCTCAAATTGTTTTGTGCGGTTAAATCAAGAACTTGAACTGGCCCACTGACAACAATAGCAGTGATGCATAGTAAATTAGCATTTGTTTTACTTGCAATGTGAATCAGACAATAATGCTTTCCTTAGACACAATCATTGCATCATTCATCATTCACAATGGAAATAATGTTTCATGAAGTTGTGTTTTGTTGTGGTTAAAGCTCATATTATCATTTCGTGAATCCAAATATTCTATATTTTACTTTTCTTATTTTATTACTCCTTGATTCTTCACATACTGCCGTCTTTAAAAATTGTTAACTAATATTTATGATTGTGTAGTCCTACGGAGCCCAAGAGATTTTCCTCATTGTATTACTTATTTATCTTTTCTTCCTTTTCCTTTGCGAAAAATGATCTGAAACTATTATTTATCTTTTATGATTAACTTACCAAATATTCTTGCTACTGAACCAGCTTTTTTGTTGTTGTTGTTTAAAAGTGGGCACGGGGATTTTTCTTAAAAATAATTTTATGACTTAATCCTCTAACAAATATTTTCATTTTAAGTGGATACCCTTTCTAATATATATAAATTTTAAAGATCAGCATCTTTGCAAACTTCCTTTTAGTTTAACATACATTTTCCCTTACAAGTTCAATTTTGTATTTTTGTCTTTATTTTATTCCTTTGTTTTTTTATTCTATGTATTGTCGTCAGGACCAGATAACCTGCTGTCTTCCATCCTCTTAAAAAAAGCAATTAGTCGGCCGATCGCAGTGTCTCTTGCCTGTAATCCCAGCTCTTTGGGAGGCGAAGGCGGGCGGATCACGAGGTCAGGAGATCGAGACCATCCTGGCTAACACGGTGAAACCCCATCTCTACTTAAAAAACATACAAAAAATTAGACGGGCGTGGTGGCGGGCGCCTGTAGTCCCAGCTACTCCGGAAGCTGAG